>NC_000003.12:129008604-129160119 GCF_000001405.40 Homo sapiens
CCACAATCCTTGGGACACAGAAATGGCAGTAGACATGTTAGGGCACAGGTGTGCCATGTGCTGAGGGGCCACAAAGGAGCTCCTGCTGCTTTCAGAGCTGTAGGAGTTGCAGGTGAAATAGAAGCCTCCCAGGTGTCAAAAGGCATCTTCAGGCCTCCTAGAGCTGGGGAAGACTCAGGTACTCCCTGGCCCAGCCCCTGCCTGCTGAGGTGCACAGTCCTCCTAAGAGGCTCCTGGTCCCCTCGCAGCCACATCAGCCTCTGATCCTGCTTTCCCACAGCTGGTCTCCACTCACATGACCTTGTCTGAGATGAGAAACTCAGCTCCTTATTCTTCAAATCCCACAAAATAGTCCATCCCCACACACATTTTTATGCATAGTAGACATTACTGATTATTGGCGGGGTGGGGGGCGGGGCGGGAATCTGTTGCAGTAATGCAAACAGCTTCATGTGGAAAATTTGACATCACCATTCATAAAATGTCATTCAATCCCTGCCCAACCAAGGTGTTTCAGTGGCACTTCTCCCAACTTAGTTCCAACCACTCTCCACCTTTCTTCTCTCCTCTGTTTTCTCTCTCTTTTCTTCCTTTCTATCATCCAGGTCTCCTGGGTGAATGCCAGAAAGCCTAATGCAAACTGACCTAGGTGAAAAGGAAGTTAGTTCTTAGAACTGAAAAGTGTAGGCATGTCCAGCTTCAGACATGGCTGGATTCAGGTACTCACGTAGTGTTACCACGATATACTGAAGTTCTGCTTTACTCTCTGGCAAATTCTCTCCCCCAGTAGCCCTTGGGGTGCCAGGCTAATATCCCCAAAGCTCAGTCCAGTAGAAAGACCATCTGTCATCTGAACCATCCCACTGAAGTCCTGGAACTGGGCCTCATTCAGCCAACTTGGAAACATGTTCATCCCTGAATTCATCACAGGGGCCAGGACAATTTGATGCTCTGACTGGCCAAACCTTAGTCACATACCCACCACTGGAGTGAGAGCAAGGCCCATTGAACTCTGGAAATGAGATCCTCCCAAGAGAATCAAGGGGCACTGTACCCCAGACACATTCAAGGAACACACCCCTTTGCCCCTCTCTGGAGCTCGCAGCCCAGTCCTTTTCTTGTCTGGGTAGAATAGCCCACCTGTGGCAGCTCAAGACTGTGAACTCTGAAGCCCCGGGAGGAAACCTGGTTAGACACAGAGCAGGCTTGTCTGGAGGTCAGCTTTTCCTGGATGCTGGGTGCTTTGGGAGTGGTTTCGGGGGGACTCTGTAACCTCGCCAACCTGTGCCCATCCAGGTGATTCAGGGCTCACTGGGGAGGGTGGACAGAAAAAGATTGTTATCCCCAGGTTCTGTCCGTAGCTGGGAGCCCTCCTGAGGGAGCACAAGGGCTTGGCACTTCTGTGGCCTAGCACCCAGCCCAGCCTTGGCACACAGTAAGATGTGTGTGGACACACGAATGGACCAGCGGGCATGGGAGTGGATGCTGTCCTCAAAACTGGAAGAAAGGGCGTAACGCCTGGGACTTCAGCACAAGGAGACCCCTAAGTGGTCCAGTGGCCTTGTCCTGCCTTGAGGGGTCCCCCTTCAGTCCTCAGTAGAAGGTCTCTGGTGGGTTTGTGACATCTCGTCCTTTTGAAACCGCCCATATCTCAACCAGTTGCCTGGCCTGGCCCCCTACCCTGCTCTGAAGCCAAGGAGCAGCTGAGTCCCCTTGATGGGGCCTTCAGGACACCGGGGCAGGGCAGGCAGCCTAGGGCCAGCACCACTGGGCAGGGGCTGGTGCCCAAAAAGACAGAAGAGACAGAGAGCCAGCTCAGCTCAGCCGGAACAGGGAGGAGAGGCCTGGCGGCCTGGCCTCTGGCTTTGTTGTTGGGGGAGGGTGAAAAGGCTGGGATGGAGGAAAGGGGGTGGGAGAGGGAGGGAGGAGGGACGGCAATTGGCTGGCCACCGTGGAGGGGACACAAAGATGAGGCCATCTGAGGGCTACCTCCTTTCTTCTGCCCCATTGCTGCTGCCTGGCCTGACCTGGCAGCCTTTGGGTGGGCCAAACTCAGCGGGTCCAGGGTGGGAGGGAGGCAGATGAGTGGGGGCGAGCAGAGGGGGCATGGGGCACCATCTGGAGCTGGGAGGCCTCGGATTCCATCGTCCTTGGAGGTGGGTGTGTGGGTGGCCTTGGTGAGAAAAGAGGCCTTTCCTCCTCCAGGAACAATACTCAGGCTCACAAAGAGGCAGACCCACTCAGGCACCCACTGCATGCCCCAGGCCCTCAGGATGCACAGGGGGCTTGGTGGGTGGGGGCCTAGGCTCAGAAGGCCCAGCCCAACCTGGCTTTGATTCCTGGCTCTTCAACATGTGTGGTAGGAGCTAGAGCTGTTCCCTTCACTTCTGTGAGTCTCAGTTTCCTCGGCTATAAAGTGGCTATGGGATTCTGTCTTGGCATAAACATTGAGTGTGATGGGGGAGGCAGCGTGGTGGTGGAGCTCTGGGAGTGTGACCTGCAGCAAGCCATTCTCACCTCTGTGAGCCTCAGCTCATCTGTAAAATGAGATGAGAATAATAATGATAATAATACCCACTTCATGGAGTATTTGAAGATTCAACTTGCTGTTGTGTTGAAAGTGCCTATAATAATGAAAGGCTTAATAAATATTGGAACGTATTGGACAGGGTGTGGTGGCTCACGCCTGTAATCCCAACACTTTGGGAGGCCGAAGTGGGTGGATCACCTGAGGTCAGGAGTTCAAGACCAGCCAGGCCAACATGGTGAAACCCCGTCTCTACTAAAAATACAAAAATTAGCCAGGTGTCCTGGCACGTGCCTGTAATCCCAGCTACTTGGGAAGCTGAGGCAGGAGAATTGCTTGAACCCAGAAGGTGGAGGTTGTAGTGAGCCAAGATTGTGCCACTGTACTGCAGCCTGGGTGACAGAGCAAGACTCCGTCTCAAAAAAAAAAAAAAAAGAATGAAGCAGGGACACTCATTCTTGTCTATCCAGAAAAGCAAGCCCTGTCCAGGGCAGGATCACAAAGGGGCAGGCCTTGAAAAGCAAGGAGGCAGAGGAGGAGGAGCCGTGGGCTCTCTGTCGAGGTGGCTGATCAGTGGTGTCCCCAGAGAAACCTGCCCTCATTCAAATACATGCCCCCAGCTGCACTTCTCGGAGGACAGAGCCTGGGCCCACACTTTGGGCTGACAGCTCAGAGATATACCCTCTCTCGAGCCTGAGGCTTTGCACCCCTCCCAGAGAGAGGGGCCTTGACTGCACAAGCTAATATGTGCAATAAATGCATCCTTCAGAGAAGGAAGGAGCCTAGACAGGGATGGTAATCTGCCCAGGCTCACCCAGTAAATCAGGGGCACAGCCAGGCTGGATTCAGTCCACGAGTCTGTAGCTCTTTCTGCTACTTCCCACAGGTGGGTTGGAAATAAGCTTCAGCCTTTTCAGGCCTGAGGCAGCCACAAAGGACATGGGGTGGCCTGAAGTGCCAGACCAGTCACCCTTGGCCATGACCTGCCTCATCTGCTAACCTATGTATGTTGCACATTTTCTTTGGTGTCTTGATGCTTCTTAGGAAGCTTCAGCTCAACTTGCTTGTGCCTCAGTTTTCTCATCTGGAGAATAGGTTAGTTTTAGTACCTACCGCACAGGGTAAGAATCTAATGAGATAATAGAAAGCATTTAGAATGATGCCTGGCACATAATAAGCCCTCCTTAAATGTCATTGTCAGCTGGTCCTGGGGTGTGCCTGCATTTGCTACACACTCCTCGGATGAGCTTTCGACCCCTGTGCCTCCAGCACTCTCCATCCACCTGTATCTCTGCTTGTCCCTGCCTGGTTCTACTCGCTCCTGCTCCACATAGCTGGGAACATGGCTGCAGGGACCCCAGATTCATGACTTTCCAAATTCTGTGACCCAACATTCTGCTTCCCAGCACCTGTAGATAAAGTCCTAGGAAAGAACGTGGATTGGCCCAGCCTGGGTCACAGCCCCACCTCCAGGCCGAGACCAGGACCAGGCTACTAGGATAGTCCTGTTGGCCCGGACCAGGGCACACGCTCAACCCTGAAGTGGGCCAAGAGTTGGGTGGCCATAGAAGTGGGACAACTCCCAAAACGAAGGTTGGTGCTGTTACCAGGAGACAGAAAAGGATGCAGGTTAGACAGAAAACAATCAATGTCCACCTCATGAACTTCCCCTTAGAAGTGAAAATTCAAGAAACATAAAGGCTACAGCTCAGCACCAGGCACAGAGAAGGTGGAAGAGCGGGCATTGGGCATTTTTTTATGTAGTGTAGCAGTTTTCCAGAAAGTCAAAGGGCCTGGCGCATGGATGGTTTTCTTTATTTAAGGTGGTCTCATCCAAAGAGAGAATCTCTTCTCACATAAGGATATGCTATTTACCCACAAGGAGACATTGGAAGAAGAGGCCAGTTCCTGGGTGGAGGCCTGGCTTGTCCTGTAGCTCCAGACGTGCCAGTGTCAGGACTTTCACATGACCTGGCCTAAGTCAGGGGTAGTATACATGGTTCTGCAGACCCAAGCCGGGTGAGCTCTGGAGGACACAAGGGGGTGGGCATCATGATCGCCAGATTGTTTTGACGGTACAGCCTTGGATATAGACAGTCAAAGTGGTCTTGTGTAGAAAAAAATGACAAAAAATAAAAGTATGCTTCCTTTGGATGGAGAGGGTTCTATATTATATTGGATTTTTTAGTTGCTAATGACTAAAAGCACTCTCACTGCCTTAGGCCAAAAGAAAAGTAGGAACGGCACTTATTTATCAACTAAAAATCTCAAGCGTATATAGCTTCAGGCATGGCTAGATCCAGGAGCTCAAGTCATGCTACCTGGAATCTCTTTCTTTCTATCCTTTATCTTGTCTTTCTCCTAGTTGGCTCTGATTTCAGACATTCTTCCCATAAGGTAGCAAGACAGCTACCATCATCATCAGGATTAGCTCCTATCCTCCCAATCACCCCCATCAGAAACACTTTCTCTTTCCCAGTAGTTCCAACATAGGCCACACCCATCCTGGAACCAGTCACTGGTACCAGGGAAATGGAGCATGCTGACTGGCCAGCCTAGGGTCATGTGAGTACTCTGGACCAATCACTGCCACTCTGATTAGCTAGACCTGGCTAAAACATTCCCGCCATTGGCCCTGCCCGACACATGGGCCAAGAGAAATGGAGGAGTCTGTTCTCCAAAGAACAGTAGTCAGGGGGCTGGATGGGGGGCTACTTGTGGGCAATGATGGCACCCAGTCCCCCTGAGCCGGGCAGAGGACCTGGCCAAGGAAGGGCCGTGGCTTCTTTGTGACTAGGCAGGGGCAGGAGCGACTGTCAGAATGTGCTCTGAGTTGGGGGTGGGGGCTTTTCCGGAGAGGACCGAGGTGACTGGAGAAGCCTGGAGCCACCCAAAGTCAGAGACCCAGGAAGGGGCAGACAGAGTCTTCAGGCTCTTCATTTTGCCTCTTCATGATTTTCTGTCAGAAATAACCATTGGCTTTTCTTCATTCAACCAAATTCTGTCAAGTGCCTAGAGAGGGCCCATGCTGTCCTGGGCATGAGGGAGGCAGCTGGGAAGAGGCAGAGACCCTGCCCTCGTGGACCAACTCTCAGTGCGTTACGCTGTTGACCACCAGTAACTAAGCGGGTGGACGAGGGGAGGGTCAGGGAGTGTGAGTCAGCTCGGGCTGCTGTGACAAGCCCCACAGACCAGGAGCTTCAACAACAGGCATTTGTCTCCCACAGCTGTGGAGGCTGACCAGAGTGCGGTGTCGCAGCGTTGGCTTCTCCTGCGGCCTCTCTCCTGGGCTGGCAGCCAGGGCCGCCTTCTCCCTGTATCCTCGCGTGGTCTTCCTTCTGTGTGTATTTCTGTCCTAATCCCCTCTTCTTAGAAGGACACCAGTCAGACTGGATTAGGGCCCACCCTAAAGACCTCATTTTAACTTGATTACCTCATTAAAGGTCCCATCGCCAAATAAGATCACATTATGAGGAGCTCTGGGGGTCTGGACATCAACATATGAATTGGGGAGACACAACCAGCCCATCACAGGAGACTTCTCTGAGATGTGACCCTGGAATTGAGGCCTGAGTGGCAAGGTGGGGCCATGACTTGTGTGATCCAGGGCGGAGGTGACTCCCATAGCAAAATCACAGGGCTGGGCACAAGCTTGGCTTGTCTGCACTGCCTGCACGGGGACGAGCAGGTTGGAGCCAGCCTGGATGCCGAGGGGCCAGTGAGGAGGGGCCAGTGAGGAGGAGCAGGTGAAGAGCCCTCCTCACCTGTACACACGGAGTCCTGCTAAGTCTCAGCTCCAAGTGGCTCAGACCCACCTGCTACTCTCCAGTCGCACCCACCACCCAGCCCAGCCCCAGCACCACTCCTGGACAGCTGTCCTAGCCTCCTGACTGGTGTCCCAGCTCCATCAGAACCACGGACCACACAGCATCAGGTTAATCTTTTCAACACCCAGATCCCACCTCGGGCTCGCCCACTCACAACTCTCCTGTGACCTCCTCTGGTGACCATCATGACTGTGAGTGACCAGGCCCTTTCCCATCCTCTCCTGCAGCCACACTGACCCTCCAGGGCTCCCCTTCTCAGGCCCTTTGGGCATACGGCTCCCTCCACCATCCCCAAGCCTACTCCTGACCAATCCACATTCACCCTTCAGGTCTTGCCAGACCCCAACTCTTTAGGGAGGCCCCACCTCCATCTACAGCCTCTTCCTAACGTCTTTCACGGCCCCTGGACTTTTCTGTCCTTCATGTATTTTTGTGATGACTTCATTGAGGTCTGCTCCTTCGGGGGGGGAGGTTGCGGGGTAAGCTCTGTGAGGTCAGGGGCCATGCCATTGCTAAGGACAGTGGCTGGCTCAATACTTCATCCTTCGGTGAATTAAAGAACCAAGTCAGCAGCTTGGGCTGGCAGGGCCTTAGAAGTCACCCAGCCCAGGCTGACACCCTGCACGGCGCCCCCGAGAGCTGAGTGTCCGTGTCTGCTCGCACACTCCTGTTGCACCCTTCCCACCGCCATCCCCTGCTCAGTAAAGTTGGGGGGGTTCCCGAATTCAGGTAGGGACCAGAGAGGAGTCACAGAGGACCCCTGAGGACTGTCCCCCCACCCCTTGTGATTTATTTTCCGCCCTTCCTCTGCTGCATCCCGCCCCCCTACCCCAAGCTGTTCTTCCTGCTGTTGTTCTCTTGTTTTCACATGTTGCTCTCTGTTTCCTGTAAGGCTGCTTCACTCAGGAAACGCCATGCAGCAAAGGAAGCCGCTGTGTGCGAACCTCCAGGACCTCCCAGAGTAGGTGCTGCAGCGTGGCCGTGGCCTGATGGCCCAAAGTAGCCTGGCTGGGTTCTGAGGGACCTGTCAGCTCTGCAGCTTCCTGAGACTTGCTGAGTCACTGAGCGGCTCAGAGCATAGGAAGCAGAGAGAAAAAGACAGCAGTGACATTTTTCATCTATTCCAGAATAAACTGAGCCCAGGCGGTGTAATGGGCTTTTGATGCGTCCCCCTGGCTTTGATGTGATGCCTTGACCGCTCCCTTGGTTACAGCAAGTTAACCGGTCAAACACTAAGCTACAGTTGCTGTACAGGTATTCTGCATATGGATTAAAGTCTGTCATCAGTTGACTTTAGGTAAGGGACATTATCCTGGCTGGTCTGGGTGGGCTTCAAGAGCCAAACAGGCTTCTGTGTGAAAGAGAAGTTCCACCTGTGGACAGAAGGGTGTGGAATCCATCTACAGCCAGGCCTACAAGCTGTAGCTCTTTCTGAAGGACTTTATGACAAGGAAGTGGGCTGTGTGATTGTGGGGGCTGGCTAAGCAAGCCTGAAGTCCACAAAAGGGAAGCTGGCAGGCAGGTGGAGCTCATGGGCACGCCCGTGTCTAGAGCCTCTGGGGAAGCCCATAAGCCGTGCCCGTGAGCTCCACCTGCCTGCCAGCTTCCCTTCTGTGGATTCCAGACTCATTTAGCCAGCCCCCGTGATCACACAGGCCACCTGCTTGTCATAAAGCCCTGGAGACAGAGCTACAGCTGCAGGCATGGCTGTAGATGGATTCCACACACTGGCCCCACTTCTCTGGTCAAACCCTGACTCGTACAGGGCCTGAGGCAGGAGGGGGCGGAACTGATTAAGGAACAAAAGCTAACATTTTTGAGCACTCACTGGGTGTTAGGCACTGCACTAAGGACTTTATCTGTACAACCTTATTGCACTCCCAAGCAGTGCTGTGAGTGGTTTATCAGTGATGATGCTTTATGCTGCAAGAACATAAAACCCAACTCAGAATGGCTTAAACCACAAGGACATTTATTATCTCATGTGAGAAGTCCAGGGGAGAGCAGTTCCTTGGCAGTTCAGTAAAGTTTTCAAGGACCTGATTCATCTTCCACTCTGTTTTCCTCAGCTTGTCATTTTGGCCTGTCAGCAAGGACCCCTCATGGTTGCAAGAGAGCTGCCATGGCCTCAGGCATCACTGCCATATCCACGGGTCCTCCTGGCAGACTTCCCCTCACCTCTCTTTGGCCAGAATTGCATCACATGCCTGTTTCTAAACCAATCTGAAGGAAGCTTCATGATTGAGGCTTCGTGAAGGCGGCTTCATGATTGGCTCAGGCCAGTCAAGTCTCTCTGGGAGCACAAGGCCACAGTCGGGGTTGAGCTGACAGCAGATGGGGTGTGGTTGTTTGGATGGCTGAATTTGGTTTCTATCACAACCATAGCCGATCACCACACTCTTAGTGACTTGAAACAACACCCACCTGTGACCTCATAATTCCGTAGGCCGGAAGTCCAGGCGGGCGTGGCGGGCTTCTCTGCACAAGCTCGCACAAGGCCGAAAGCAAGGCACCCTTGGCCGGGTCTGGACCCCCTGGGAAAGCCCGTTCCAGTGTTGGCAGAATCCAGCTCCTTTTGGCCGTGGGACCGAGGCCCTATTTCCTTGCCGGCTGTCAGCTGGGGTTGCTCTCTGCATTCCTTCACCCACATTGCTTTCATCTTCCAGCCAGCAACGACCTGCCCCATGTCCTTCTCACACTTCACATCTCTCTCACAGCCTCTTCTACACCAGCCCAGAAAGCTATCTGCATTTCAAGGGACTTGTGTGATTAGACAGGGATAATCCCGTCTTCTGGTCAGCTGTGCCACAGAACATCATGCCATCTCTGAGTGACAGGCTCACTTCACTCACAGGCTTTGAGAATTAGGGTGTGGAACTTGGGGGCCCATTCCTAGACATTCTGCCCACCCCCGTGAGGCAGACATTTCACTGGAAAGAAAGTTAACCTCAGAGAAGTGAAGTGAGTTCCTCAAGGCTGTACCAGCCAGGAAGTTATGGCTGCAAACAACAGAAATCAATGCTGCTCATTGAAGCAAGAAAATAACAGCCCTCCCTCCTGGCTACCATATAGTATGCAGTCCTGGCCATACAAGAGGGTCCCTGTGCCCCTCAGGGTGGTCTTTTTATCCCCAGCCAGATGCTTGGTTTCAATTATTCTATAACCTAATAGGATTAGTTATCTTAGGAAATCCAGAGGTGCTGGCTGGCCTTGGGAGTAAAGATGAGACCTCAGTTCTCCAGGCTCATTAAACATGTTTGCCTCCATAGGGAGACAAATTGTCTCCATAGGGAGCAGAAGTCATCAGTTAAATCCGGGGTTAGCAAACTACAGCCTGTGGGCCAGTCCAGCTCCACCCTTATTTTTATACAATCCACAAACTAAGAATAGTTTTTACATTTTTAAATGGCTAGGAAAAAACTAAAAAAGGGATATTTCATGACATATGAAAATTTCATAAAATTCAAATTTTAGTGTCGATGAATAAAGTTTTATTGGAACACAGCCATGTCCACTTGTTTACATATTTTCTGGGACTGCTCCTGTGCAGAGTGGAGTAGCTCTGACAACAACCTCATGGGCTTCAAAGCCTGAAGTATTTACTCTCTGGCCCTTTATGGCATAAGTATGCCAGCCCTGAGTCAAATGACAATGTGCTGGTCATTGGTGACCAGCAATTCCAACCTTGGGATTCCTCATGTATTCTGAGCAGGGGACTGGGCAGGGGCAGGGATGGACTCTCTCACCTCTTGTTCCCACACGCCTTCCTGCCCTTCAGGCAGTCCCTCCCCGGTGATTTCTCTGTATCTTCTTGTTGGGATGTGTTCTTGCGAAGTGAGTCTTTCGGGTCTGTTTGCACCCCATTGGCGGCGTTGTGGCACATGTCTCACTGTGCCTCTGACTCCCCACTCGGCGCTGGAGTTCCCACCCCAAATGTTGTTCTGCGAGTGCATCTTCTGGCTGCTTTTCCCCTCTGCAAACTCCTCCATCCACTCCCAGGGGTGGACACTAGGCTGCCTCCAACTGCCTGCCACTCCAGATGACACCAAGTGCGTGTCCTCCCCCACACCACCGTGCAGCAGCCTGCTGTGAGAACTGTCCCAGGAGAGGGGTTGCTGGGTCTTGTGGAGACACATAAATGATTTGACCAAGTGATGCCAGCTGGCCCCAGTGTGTTCTTTGATGTAATCAGGTTCACCAAATTCTTTTGGCTTTATGATTTTTGCCTTTGAATTCTTGAGTGGTCCTCCGTTCCTAGGTCACAAGGGTATTCTGCTGGATATTCTTTTGTTTTAATTGTATCTTTTAGGTGTTCAGTCCACCTGGAGTCTACCCTTTTGGGTGATGAAGACAGGGACCCAGCTTTAAGTTTGTCCTGGGTAGGTTTAGGTTTAGCGAGGGCTGGCTACCTTCACTCACATGGGATTTAGAAGCCCAGTCAGTCCACTCATCAGTGTTTGTCTTAGTGGTTTGCTCATCAGTCCAATAATTCCTTTGAGGATGTGAGACCGCAGCAGGACCCTCACTTGTATATATTTTGTGTTTATATAAACAGTCACATTCTAGATTCATATAATTGTAGTACAAACAAGAGAGAACTACAGTTCTGGGAAAAATGACTGTAAACTATTTAACTTTTAATATAAGTTGTAGATCAGCACTGTCCAACTGGACTTTATGAGATGATGGAAACGCTTTCTGGCTGCACTGGTAGCTGTGAGCCACAGGTAGCTACTGAGCACTTGATGTAGCTAGCATAACTGAGGAACTGAATTCTTAGTTTTATTTAACTTTGATTAAATTTACTTTTTTTTTTTTTTTTTTTTTGAGACTGAGTTTCGCTCTTGTTGCCCAGGCTGGAGTGCAATGGTATGATCTCAGCTCACTGCAACCTCCACCTCCCAGATTCAAGCGATTCTCCTGCCTCAGCCTCCCAAGTAGCTGGGACTATAGGTACCCACCACCACGCCCGGCTAATTTTTGTATTTTTAGTAGAGACAGGTTTTCACCATGTTGGCCAGGCTGGTCTCGAACTCCTGACCTCAGGTGATCCACCTACCTCAGCCTCCCAAAGTGCTGGGATTACAGGTATGAGCCATCGCAACCAGCCTGATTAAATTTAAATAGCTACATGTGACTGTGGTTACCATATTGGACGATGCAGGCCAGATTAAAACACTAGGACAGCACTGCAGAAATTTATGCATTTATTTGAGGTTTTAGGGGGTAAAATGAGAAACAGAAAAGGAAAGATGAACAAGCAGGAAGCTGTAAACAGAGTGTGGGAGTTAATATTTGTTAAGTGCCTACTCTGTGCCAGGCACATACATCCCTAATTTAGCCCTGACTTGCACCCTATGAGCTTGGGTGACTTACTCCCATTTAAAAGATTGGGAAGGCTGGACAGATGGCCCACACCTGTAATCCCAGCATTTTGGGAGGCCGAGATGGGTGAATCACTTGAGCCCAGGAGTTCAAGATCAACCTGGGCAACATAGTGAGACTCCATCTCTACAAAAAATACAAAAATTGGCTGAGCATGGTGGCCTGCACCTGTGGTCCCAGCTACTGAGGAGGCTGAGGTGGGAGGATCACTTGAGCCTGGGAGGTTGAGGCTGCAGTGAGCTGAGATCACGCCACTGCATTCCAGCCTGGGCAACAGAGTAACACCCTGTCTCAATAAATAAATAATAAAATGATGGGAAAGTTGAGTCTCAAAGAGGTGAAAGACTTGGTAAGGCACGCTTATTGGAGTGGCTGGCCCAGGATTAAACAGACACAGGCCAGATGCCCTTCTCAAAAGGCTCTGTGAGCCCAGAGGCTCCAGGGGAGGGAGCCAGGAAGGTTACAGGCTGGCTGGGCACTTGCAGACGGGAACCCTGGACACCACCCTTCTGAAGGCTGGGGCATGGTCCAGTGTGCTGACCTGGCAGCCTCCAAGTCCAAACCCACAGGGGTGGGCACCTCGTAGTCCCAGGGTGAGGCTGCCGTGGCCAGTGGGATGTAAGGCCTCATGAGAGCTGGGAGGGGTCTGGAACAGGGCATCTCCTTGGGAGCAGTATCTCCCCCAGGACTTTCTGGAAATTCGTGGGGAGGAGGGTTTGCCTCAGTGACTGGAAGGGTGGTGCTCCTGACACATGAGGGGCCCTGCCAGGGAAACAAGGCTCTGGGCAGATCCTGTATGACCAAGCATCACCCCAAACCCCACATGAGCTCCATGTGTCCTGCTGGACATTTATGCTGCGCAAACCTCACTTTCGTCATGATGATCTGAGACTGGAGCCCACCTCTGTCTTATATATAAACACAGGGTTTTCCACAAGGTTTTAATATACAAAGGGTTTTCCAAGAATCCGATGCTGTGTGAGTTGAGGGAAGGTCACACTTTGTTTTGTTTGGCATTTTCCAAGAGTTGCTCATCATTTCAGAGGCACATCAAAGACAGTGACAAAACTCATGGTGCTTAAGCTGCTGGCAGGGAATGCCTGGCCTGTAGTCCCAGCTACTGGGGAGGCTCAGGCAGGAGAATCGCTTGAACCCGGGAGGCGGAGGTTGTGGTGAGACTAGATCATGCCATTGCACTCCAGCCTGGGCAACAAGATTGAAACTCCGTCTCAAAAAACAAACAAACAAACAAAAAACACTGGCAGTCCTTATGCTTGTACTGTGAGTCTGCGCGGGTATCTGTCTATTTATCAATCCATCTATCAATCTGGATATTTTAAAATGCCAAATATAGGGAAAGATTATCAACAACATTCAGTTGAATGTTACCTTGCCCCTCTTAAATTCAAATGTATCCATCACAGACAGGTTAAAGTATCTGAAAATTTCATTGTTTGTGAGTATTTACATATTGAAATGTATATCATAAAACTCCTTTCCTTTTCTTTCTCTTTTAAATTACCATTAGGGCATCACATTAATTTTTTTTTGAAGTACATCTGAAAATAGGGCATATTACGTATTCAGCTCATTTTGGAATAGCACAGGGCCATTGTAGAAAGAGGGCGTCAGTGTGTTAGGGTTGGGGTCCTCTGCTGTGAGGGGCAGAGGTGGCCGGGGCAGGCGCAGAGCTCTGCTCTCACAGCACCCAGAACTCACCGTGTGCTGGTGTCTAAGCATTTACCAAGCTTCAGATCCTCTAGGATCAATGTCATTTTTTTGTCATATCTATATAGAACCTGTATTATTTTCAAATATTACCAGGGGCAGGAGCTCCACAAAGTTTAGAAGGACCATGTCATTTCATTTCATCCTCATAGGACCGCCAGGCCCAGCTAGCACAGAGTCCCCAGCAGTGTTGACTGATTAATCAATGAGGAAAATGAAATAGAGGCTCAGAGACGGGGAGGGAGTTGTGCAGGTCACACAGCAAAGCCACAGTCCTGAGGGTGGAACCCAGGTTTGCGGCTCCTCAGATCCACCTCTTTGCATCACAGAACTGAAGGAGGGGTCTGTTACATGAAGATCTGGAGCCAGGAGCCAGGAGTGGCCAGGACAGCGGAAGGGAGGAAGAGCAACATCTGGCCCTTGTCAGATTGTATAAGCCCCTGGGCTGGCGGCCAGATGTGGCCATCAGCCTCCAGCAGGAGGAAGACATCAGAGGCTCACCCGGCCTCCGGATGCTGTGCAGATGTGGCCAGCTGGAGGGAACACCCAACCGCACACAAGGACTCTGGGGTCTGCCAGGAAGTGAGGGTGTGAGGGGAGGGTGGGTGGCTACTGGGGCCTGCCTTTCCCCAGAACTGCCTGGAGCCCTGACAGAGGTGCTTCAGTAATGCCTGTTGAGTGACAAGTGTCTCTGCAGCTCACAGAAGGCCCCCAGACCATTTCCCCCATGGCTCCCGAAAGACAGTGGCCCAGAAGTGCGGCAGGCAGGGGTGAATGTGGGAGTCGCGGGCCGGAAAGCACAGGGCAGGGAGGTTGGGCCTTTGCCATACTTTTCCAGCACCGGTTCCCAAGCTGTGGTTTGGAGCTGAGAAGTCTCCAACTTCTCCTCACAGTTGCTAGCCTCTCTTGAATGGACAGAGAACAGCCTCGGGTTCAGAGGCAGACAGAAAATAAGATCTAGCTAGAACTGACTAACTGTGTTTCATTCTTGCTTTATGTATTTTTAGGGTGTTAAAAGGAAAACTTTAGACATATTAAATTTAACAGAGTTTATCTGAGTAAAGAACAAGTCATGAATTGGGCAGCTGTCAGGGACAGCAGAGGTTTGGGGAGCTCAGCCTGCTATTTGTTACAAATATATGCTTCTAAATTAGAGTTTGATTTCTTCACATACTAAGTTCGGCTTCAGATCATCACTCAAAGTACAGAGACAGC
Organism: Homo sapiens; assembly: GCF_000001405.40. Classification (NCBI taxonomy): domain Eukaryota; kingdom Metazoa; phylum Chordata; class Mammalia; order Primates; family Hominidae; genus Homo; species Homo sapiens. Next base: position 129,023,287 of record NC_000003.12, read on the forward strand.
CTCAGGCTAATGGCCTCTTGCTTCTTTTTTTTTTTTTTTTTGAGACAGAGTCTTGAGTCTTGCTCAGTCACCCAGGCTAGAGTGCAGGCTAGAGCGCAGTGGTGCGATCTTGGCTCACTGCAAGCTCTGCCTCCTGGGTTCACGGCATTCTCCTGCCTCAGCCTCCCGAGTAGCTGGGACTACAGGCGCCCGCCACCATGCCTGGCTAATTTTGGTTTTGTATTTTTAGTAGAGACGAGGTTTCACCATGTTAGCCAGGATGGTCTCGACCTCCTGACCTCATGATCCACCCGCCTCGGCCTCCCAAAGTGCTGGGATTACAGGCGTGAGCCACCGCGCCTGGCCACCTCTTGATTCTTAAATTTAACAATGGTTACTATTTATGGCAAGAGATGCTGGGTTTTCATTATTGGTTATAATATTTACCACTACATAAAATATGTATTAGTAAATAAAAGGACAAATGACCAAAAATGTCTGCAGCTTAGGAATCTGCATTATCCTATCACGTAGGGTCCACCCCTCTCTGAGGTGCACAGAGGGCTTAGCCCCATTCCACAGGACAAAGCTGATAGGAACTGGGAATGGTAGGACTCAACCCATGTCTTGTGGCTCCAGATCTAGTGCTCTTCCTTCTCTGTCCTTTCTGGAACAATCCAAGAGCAGGTGAATAGGTGATAGGAGTAAACTGGATGCTTACCCAGGCTCTGGTCTTGTCCCTGGCCTGGCCTTTCCTTGCACTTCCACCCCTAAATCCCATTCATTCATTTGACAAACCTTCATTGGGCCACTCAGTCCCTGTGCTAACTGTCCTCAAGGAAATCCCAGTCTGGTGAGAGAGAAACACCATAACACACCACACGAGGGCTCTAGGAGCCAGGAGAGGTGTCTTATTCATATTTATTTGTTCTGCTGTAACAGAATACCACAGACTGGGTAATTTATAAAGAAAAGAAATTTGGGGCTGGGTCTAGTGGCTCACACCTGTAATCCCAGCACCTTTGGAAAGCCGAGTCAGGCAGATCACTTGAGGCCAGGAGTTCAAGACCCGCCTGGCCAACATGGTAAAACCCTTTCTCTACTAAAAATACAAAATTAGCCAGGCATGGTTGCACACACCTGTAGTCCCAACTACTCGGGAGGCTGAGGCAGGAGAATCACTTGAACCTGAGAGGCAGAGGTTGCAGTGAGCCGAGATTGCACCACTGCACTCCAGCCTGGGTGACAGAGCAAGACTCCGTCGCAAAAAAAAAGAAAAAAAAAAAGAAAAAGAAAAACAGAAATTTAGCTAAGGGTTCTGGAGGCTGGGAAGTAAAGGGCATGTCACATCTGGCCATAGGCTTCTTGGTGCACCGTTCCAGGGAAGAAGGTAGAAGAACAAAAGAGGGAGAGAGGGAGACAAACGCATTCCTGTATCTGGAGCCCACTCCTGCAGTAATGGTGTGGATCCACTCGTGAGGGCAGAGCTCTCATGGCCTGATCACCTCTTCAAGGCCCCACCTCTCTACACTGTTGCATTGGGGATTAGGTTTCCAACACGTGAACTTTGGGGGACACATTCAAACCATAGCAGAGGGAGAGGTGAGTTCTGAGAAAGTGACATTTTTGTTGGGGTGGGAGAACGAAGAACCAGGAGGATTTTCTGGGCACTACTTGCTGGAGCCAAACCCAGCGGCCACTCTTTGGGTGGTCAAGTGGGTGATGGCACACTTCACTGAGGGAGGGAGGAGCAGATGGAGGAAGACCAGGACAAGTCCAGGTGGCATGAGAGGCTGTGAGAAGCCTGTGGGACATCCAAATAGAGGTGCCACAGTTAAGTTCGGGCGCTTGTCAGGAACTGGATCTGAGCCCGAGGTTCAAGAGAGAGGCCAGAGCTGGAGATAAGAAGTAGGAAGTCATGGGCACGCAAAGCCATGGCGTTGGCTGAGACTCCTCCTAGAGCGAGTGCACACTGAGGAGAGAAGAGGTCCTCAGAGGGCATCCCAGGGCTCACCGGCATTAGGGGTCGGGACGGAGAGGCAAAATGGCGAAGAGTGCCAGGGAGGCAGGAGGAATCCCAGAGGAGAGCAGTCTCCCGGAAGCCACGGGAAGAGTGTGTAAGCGAGGGAGGAATCTGATGTCCAATCCTTTCTCTTTAGGCCAAGTCAAATGCGTGCTGAGAACTGGCCATTGGGCTTGGCAGCCCAGTGCCGTGGGTGATGTGACGGGGACCAAGACATGATTGGGGCAGCATGTGTAGTAGGCACAGTGCTTTCAAGTTTTCTGTCAAGTAGGGCAGAGTAAGGGTGGTAGCTGGGAAAGTCATATGGTCAGAGGATGTTTTGTGTATTTGCTTGTTTGAAGGTGGAGCTATTATAGCATGTGAGTGTGATGAGGGGTGGCTGATCTGCTGAATAATCCAGCAGAGAGAGGGGCAATGGGAGAAGCAGTTGAATACTGGTCACTAGACAACAGTAGCACACCCCAGGGCTCCCTGAGGAAGCACTTGTTCCATTTCTCTGTAGCCACATTTTACTTCTTGGAAAATTCCAAAGAGTGTCCTCATCTGTCCTGCTCTCCAGATGGCTCTGTTCTCTTCCCAGCTTCACTGCCTGTGACCTGGAGTTACCCACTGACAACGGCAGCTGGGCCGGGTCATTCCAGAGCCTGCCTTCCAAGCTTCCCTTGTGCCTGGCATGTGGGCCTGGAGCCTCCCGCCTGAGTGCAGACCCCACCTCTCCCGCGGTGCGGCTCCAGCAGCTTCCTCCAGCTCTTAGTGCTTTGGTTTCCTCCTCTGTAAATGGAGATAATGACCTTACCTGTTATAGGGTTTTCATGAGGAAGATGTTTGAAATATTGAGAACAGCTTTCAGAACATTCTGAAGGGTTTAGTTGGTATTGTCGTTGCTGTCCGTGCAGGAAGCTGTGCCTGGAGCAGGCTTTCTAAGACACATGCAAGTGCTAGGAGGTGGAGTGTGGGGATCCAGTCCACCCCAGGCAGCCTGTGCCAGGAAACATTTAAACAGGCCCCTGGGGGTAAAAGCTGTCCCTCCATCTCATTTTGCTTGTTGAAACCCTTAAATGATTTAGGGAATAGAAGAAGCAGCAGCATCTCATAGTGGAAAGATTTCAATATTAATGTCTAATTCAACCTCCAACTGTATTCACAATTCCAGCCGCTGAAGTCCCTTACCTGCTGACATACCTCCTCTGCCAAGAAGCTCACTGCCTTCCACAGCACATCCATCATTCTTCATCAGCAGTTCCTGCGAGAAAGTTGTTCCTCCCAGTGAGCTAAAATCGCCTCCCTTTGATTACCAACTCCCATCTTTGCTGTCTCACCCCAGTTAAACACCTCCCTATGGGGCCATATAACCAGGTACCTGCCTCTACCCTTGAGTCTTGGAGACAGTGACCTTATTCCCTTGTGTCTTTTCTTCTCCAGGCTGTAGTCTGGAGCCTGTGGAGTAGGGAGATACTGGCACCTCCCCAGTGAGATCTCAACTATTATGACCTAAGCTGTAGTCACGCGGTCTCACATTGAAGCAAGAATCCCCACCCGGGGGTTTTCACACTGGTTGCTGCTAAGCAACGTGCCCATTCTCGGCTTGCACTGGGGGACCCTGAATGCAGGATTTTATGAATCAGAGTCATGGGCTCAAAAAACACGAAATTCCAGGGTTAGCCCTGGCTTTAGGCAAAGCCTGATCCAGCAGCTCAACTGATGTTACTAAGGGTCCTGTTTCTTTTGCCGTCATCTTTGGGCTCTATCTGCAGCCCCCAAGCATCTCCGGACGGCCCCCTCAGAGGCACAACTTCCCGCTTCGTCGGTCATCATGCTCCGCGCCCTCAGGCAGTCAGCGAAACGCCGGAAACGCCTGCAGACGCCTGCAGACGCTCCTTGTGTTTCATTGGCTACCCGTGCAGCCCTGGGCCACTCACGGTGGCCAGGGTGGGGTTATGCTGATGAGCACGGGGAGGCCCCGCGGGCGGCGGCGGTGCTCGCAGCCGAGGTGCCGGCGGGGAGCTGGCCATGGGGAGGCGCTGCAGGGGGCCCCGGCGCCCGTGCCCCGTTTGGGCTGTGCGCGCTGCCGGCTGGCTCCCCTCTTGGGCTCGCGGGCCCTCCAAGTGCCAAGTCCACCTGACGGAGCCCGGGCCGGGAGCCCGCGCCCCTCACCTGCCCAGACTCTCCGCGGGGGCTCACCCCAGTCACGCGGATCAGCCGCGGGAGGCTCCCTGCCTGCCCCTCCTGGGTGCTGCAGGGCTTCCACCTGCGCAGTGAGAGGCTCAGCAAGGGGCCATGGCTCCGAATGGCACCTCCCGAGCAGGGGTCTTTGTGTTCCAATAATATTTGGTCATAGGAAGTCCACTCAGCGAGTCCATGTAAAACATGTAAAATGGGGACTCAGGGCGGGTGCGGTGGTCCACGCCTGTAATCTCAGCACTTTCTGGGGCCGAGGCGGGCGGATCACCTCAGGTCAAGAGTTCGAGACCAGCCTGGGCAACATGGAAACCTCGACTCTACTAAAAATACAAAAGTTAGCCGGGCATGGTGGCGGGCGCCTGTAGTCCCAGCTACTTGGGAGGCTGAGACATGACAATCGCTTGAACCCAGGAGGTGGAAGTTGCAGTGAGCTGAGATCGCGCCACTGCACTCCACCCTGAGTGACAGAGCAGGACTCAATCTCAGTAAATAAATAATAAAATAAAAATAAAATGGGGACTCTTTGGAGATTGAAAAATAAAGCTACAATGTATGAAAATGAGTTGTCATACTATTTAATAAGACCAGGTAATATTTTCAGCCATTTCATTCTTTTTTTTTTTTTTCTTTTTTGAGATGGAGCCTCACCTTTTCACCCAGGCTGCAGTACAGTGGTGCGATCTAGGTTACGGCAACCGCCACCTCCTGGGTTCAAGCTATTCTCCCGCCACAGCCTCCTGAGTAGCTGGGATTACAGGTGCCCGCCACCACACCCAGCTAATTTTTGTATTTTTAGTAGAGATGTGGTGTCACCATGTTGGCCAGGCTGGTCTCTAACTCCTGACCTCAAGTGATCCATCTGCCTCGGCCTCCCAAAGTGCTGGGATTACAGGTGTGAACCACCGTGCCCAGTCTAGCCATTTCATTCTTAAAAAAAATAATCTCCATGACTGGAGTACAGTGCTCTCATTCTTAGACCAAACACAGAATGACTTAGGACTTTTATTCCTTTTGGAGTGATTTTTCCAACAAAACTGTGAGAACACAGTGGTGCACGCTTACCTTTATGGGTTTTGTTTTTTTGTTTTTGGAAGTTTTCTTTTTGCAGCTTTACCATGAGGAGGGTCCCTTTTGCAAAAATATCTCAGGCCTTTGTTGGCTTTTCTTTTTTCTTTTTTTTTTCTTTTCTTTTGAGACAGAGTCTTGATCTGTCGTGAGGCTGGAGTGCAATGGCATGATCTCAGCTCACTGCAACCTCCGCCTCCCAGGTTCAAGCGATTCTCCTGCCTTGGCCTCCCGAGTAGCTGGGATTACAGGCACGTGCCACCACACCCAGCTAATGTTTCTATTTTTAGTAGAGATGGGGTTTCACCATGTTGGCCAGGCTGGTCTCAATCTCTTGACCTCGTGATCCACCCGCCTTGGCCTCCCAAAGTGCTAGGATTACAGGCGTGAGCCACTGTGCCCAGCCTCATTGGCTTTTTTAAAGGTTTTCTTCGTGCAGCAGAGCACTCTCCTGATGCTCCTGGCTGGTGCTCATCCTGCTGGTTTTCACTTCCTCGGTTGTATTCCAGTCCAGCCCTGCCACAGCCCCGCATCAGTGGCTCTGCCTGCGATTCGAGTTCTCCCGTGTCCCCCTGACCAACACCACTCGGCCTCCCCTTTTCCAAGATGTGGTTTTGCTTCATATTGGGTTCTATCGGGTTGTTACGACGAGATGGATGAGGGACAGATGCTAGTATAAAGTGGCCAGTTTAATAAGTGGCCCATTTATTAGTGAATATTTGCATGTTATGATAGATTTTTCTTTCTCCCCTATCTTGTAACTGCAGGGAAATGGAAAATGAATATTCAAAAGGTCAGGCCCTTAAAATATCAAGAAAAGTGATTGGTGGGGTGTAATGTAGGTTCCCCAAAGCCCAGAGAAGGGAGATGTTTCAATTAAAGGCTTTCGGGGGCAAGGAACAGAAATGCAATTTAAACTAGTTGGGTGTGGTGACTCACATCTGAAATCCCAGTGCTTTTGGAGGCCAAGGCGCTGGAGGATCTCTTAAGACCAGGAGTTTGAGAACAGCCTGGGCAACACAGTGAGATTCTGTTGTTTTTTGTTTTTTGGTTTTTTTTTTGAGATGGAGTCTGGCTCTGTTGCCCAGGCTGGAGTGCAGTGGTAGATCTCGGCTCACTGCAGCCTCCACCTCCTGGGCTCCCAGGTTCAAGCGATTCTCCTGCCTCAGCCTCCCAAGTAGCTGGGATTACAGGTGTGTGCCACCACACCCAGCTAATTTTTATATTTTTAGTGGAGACAGGGTTTCACCATGTTGGCCAGGCTGGTCTCGAACTCCTGACCTCAGGTCATCCACCCGCCTCTGCCTCTCATAGTGCTAGGATTACAGGATTCTGTCTCTATTTAAAAAATTAAAAAAAAAAAAAGTAGGCTAGGTGCAGTGGCTCATGGCTGTAATCCCAACACTTTGTGAGGCCGAGGCAGGCAGATTGCCTGAGCTCAGGAGTTCGAGACCAGCGGAAGCAACATGGCAAAACCCTGTCCCCACAAAAAAATACAAAAATTAGCTGGGTGTGGTGGCGCATACCTGTAGTCCCAGCTAATTGTGGGGCTGAAGTGGGAGGATCGCTTGAGCCCGGGAGGTTTGGCTGCAGTGAGCCAAGATCATGCCACAGCACTCCAGCCTGGGTGACATAGAGACCCTATCTCTTAAAAACAAACAAACAAACAAAAAGTAGCTGAAACAATGAAAACTTTTTTTAAAATTCCCCTATAATAAGAAGTACAGAGATGGGTGGCCCTAGGGCTGATGAACTCAACAGCTAAAAGACATTAAGGCTTTTGTTCAGCTATTCAGTAATTCTCTCAGACATTTTTTCATGTCACAAGATGGCTGCTGCAGCTCCAAACATCACATTCTCACATGACAATGTCTAAAGGCAGGAAGGAAGGGGCATTTCTTTTCCTAGAGGTTTTTTTTTATAAGGATGAAAATCCGTTGCAGAAGATTTTGCCTTGAGTCCCATTGGCTAAAACTGGGTTCCATGCCTGTGCCCTAGCTGCAAGGGATGCTGGGAATCTGAGTATCTAGCACTTCCTCCTGGACTGTGGGAAGCTGACTCTGCCAGGGTGACAATGGGTGTTCATAGACAGCTTGCCCATGTACAGTGGGGAATGGAAGAGTCCTGTACTCTCCTCCTCAATGCCTGTGTCTCTCCCACGGCTGCAGGTCAGAGGATTCCCAGCTCCCAACCCCGCAGCTAGCCAACCCAGAGCCAGGAGACAAGAGTAATGAACCTGAAGATGCTGGGACCAGAGACCCAGACCCCACTCCAGAGGGAGCCTGGCAGTCAGACAGCAGCTCTGGAAGCAGAGCCCTGGATGAAGGTTTGTCCCCTGTGCGCCCAGTCTTCCTGCCAGGCTCACAGTCCCTCCGGCTGTGCTCAGCCCTGCTCTCAAGGGCCTGTCTGCATCCATGCTACCACCAGCCTCCAAACAGAGCCCACTCCCACCAGGTGCTCAGGCTGGGCTGGGGCCCTTTTCCCCAGCCCCATCATCCTAAGAACCTGGGCCTAGAGAATCTGGGGTGTGTAGAGCCATCAGGAGGTCAGGATACACTGAGATGTTCCCAAACTTGCCAGGTGGCCAGGGTCACCTTTAAAAGCATGGATGCAGGCTGGATGTGGTAGCTCACGCCTGTGATCCCAGCACTTTGAGAGGCTGAGGCGGGTAGACTGCTTGAGCTCAGGGGTTCGAAACCAGCCTGGCAACATGGCAAAAGCTGGTCTCTACCAAAAATACAAACAAATTAGCCCAGTGTGGTGGCACATGCCTATAGTCCCAGCTACTCGGAGGGGGAGTGGGGGCTGAGGCAGAAGGATCACTTGAGCCTGGGAGGTAGAGGCTGCAGTGAGCCAAGATTGTGCCAGTGCACTCCAGCCTAGGTGACAGAGTGGGGCCCTGCCCCCCTAAAGAAAAAAGAAAAACATGGATGCCCAGGCCCACCCCGGATCTCTGCATGTGATTCTCTGGGGTGGTGGGGGTGGGGTCATAAGCCTGGTTTTGTTTTTAAACAGCTGTATCAGTTAGGACATCGTTTGTCTCCCAGTGTCAGATCATTCAGCCCAAACCGGCTTAAGTTAAAAGAGAATGTATTGGTTCACATAACTTAAAAAGTCCACACAAGCTTCAGGCACAGCTGAAGTGTCAGCAGCGCAGCTGTCTGGACCCCTGGCCCTGCGTTGCTCTACAGTGATTCACTTCACAGCAGGCACTCCCCTCATAGTGGCAAGATGGTCACCAGTGGCTCCAGGCCTGGTCCTCTCAACTCCCAAGCCAGAAGCATGGAGGGCATTTCTCTTCCCTGCAAGTTTTGAGTCCAAGTCTTGGGTTAACTCCAGTGGCTCCCACTGGGTCCCTTGCCCTTCCTGAACTAGTTGCAGAGGAGGCTGCACTCAGCCTGGCCGGGCCTGACTCAAGTGCCCCTGGAGCTGGGTGGAGAGGAAGAGGAGGGAGTGGGACTCCCCTGGGGACGGGGATGGGGACTGAGGTTGGGCAGCAGAACACCAGGGGGCCACACAGACCCCCAGGCTTCCTGATGCTGACACAGGTGGGAGCCCACCGTCAAGGCCAAGCAATACTGTGGACCGCAGACAGTCACATGTGTCACACCCCCTTCCTCCACACTACTCCAAACATTAGACGCCTGTAGTTCCCTGAGCATTGAAAATCTGTCCATCCTGGTGCCTGTACCGTGAGGAGCCCACCCCAGCTCCTAAGAGACTGGCTTGGCCTTTCCTGACTGGGGTTGGTATGGCCTAAAATGGAAATAACACTTACCTCTGAGACCACAAACAGGGCCTGGCTTGTGTCATCTTAGAAAACAGGGAAGAAGCCAGGCACGGTGGTTCATGCCTGTAATCCCAACACTTTGGGAGGCTGAGACAGGAGGATCACTTGAGCCCAGGAGTTTGAGGCTGCAGTGAGCTATCATCACACCACTGCACTCCAGCTTGGGTGACAGAGCGAGACCCTGTCTCTAAAAAAAAAAAGAAAAAGAAAAGAAAGAGAAGAAAAAGAGAGCATTTCTCCCCATGTCCCTGTGTAAAGTCCCAGGAAGGGGCTCTGACTGGCCAGCTTCACTCCTGGGCTGGTCACATTACAAGGAGACAGAACCAGCCTTGGTGGCCTCACTGCACAGGAGCCTGGGATGTGGGGGTGGCTGTCTCAAGAGGGGACATGGCACAAGAGCCCTCCCCTGGGGCTGCGCTGCACATGTCCCCCTGGGGAGGGATGCCTGGTTCCCCACCCTTTGTCCTGCATCCCCACATCCTGTGCTTCCCCAGCAGTGGACGAGCAGCTGTTCCGCTCCGTGGAGGGCCAGGCCGCCTCTGACGAGGAGGAGGTGGAGGAGGAGAGGTGGCAGGAGGAGAAGAAGACGCCGGCAGCCGAGGCCAAGACACTGCTGGCCCGGCTCTCCAGCTGCAGAGGCAGGTGTGTGGCCCGTCCAGCGTCAGCCACTGTGGGCCGCAGGCTCCAGAGGTGTCTGGGGAAGCCAGGAGCACCTGGGAGGCTGGTTAGCCTGGCTCAGCCACCTCCCAGCCCCTCTGCGACTCTGTCCCCTTGTCCCTCAGGGGGAGGTGGGAAGGCCCACCAGCATGTAGAGGATGAAGTGGGATGACCTTCCAGGGCACATCTCGTGGCTGGCTTTAATTCCCATTCGTGCTTTCTCACCAGCACCTGCACTGGAGCTCTTGTAGCACTCCCAGACACCAGTGTTCCTCTCAGACCCTTTCCCAACCCATCACCCCTCGCCACACACCATTTCCACAGCTCTCCAGCCTGGCCCCGGGCAGGTGCTGGCTCCCTGTTTCATCCTCACCTCCACCCCCATGGGGACCGAGGACAGGCCCAGGACACCTGGGACACCTCAGACAAGTCACCTGGCTTCTCCGAACCTCAGTCTTCTTGTCTCTAAGATGGGATGGTGACACTTGTGTGGCAGAGGCTGTGTGAGGATTTGAGGTCAAAGATATACAATGCCTAACAGGTGCCTGGTGCACAGTAGGTGGGAACGCCGGTGGGGGCAACAGTTATTAATGTATGGTAAAATGCTGTTGATTTTCTGGGGTTGTTTTTACCACCAATTCTTCATGTCAACAAGCACTTATAAAGCACCTACTACATGCCAGGCAAAATCTGAGGCACAGGGAAAATCGCAGTAAACCAGACAGTGGCCTCTTCTTCTGGATCCTCTAGTGAGTGTGACAGGCCTGAGGAAGAGGGGTCACACAGGGACAGGGACAGAGGCGGGGCAGGGAGATGCAGGGAAGGAAATGAGGGAATAAGCAATGCAGATGCTGGGGGAAGAGCATTCCAGGAAGAGGGAAGAGCAAGTGCAGAGGCCCTGAGGCATGTTGGCGGGACCGCCAGGAGGCCACTGTGGCTGGAGCAGTGTGAGTGCAGGTGGGTGGGAGGGAAGGTCAGAGAGCTCATGGGGCAGATCAGGTGAAGCCTTTGCCTTTTCCTCAGAGTGAGATGGGGGCCATGGGAGGGTACTGGGCAGGCAGGTGCCGTGGCCTGGCTTTGCTTTAGGAGGCCAACTCCACACCACCACCACCTCTCCAAGGCTGGACAGAGCGGGCTCTGGGAAGCAGCCCCCTGCAATGCGGGCCCTCTCCTTTGCTGCAGGTGTGATGACCAGACGGCGGAGAAGCTCATGACTTACTTTGGTCACTTCGGCGGTGCCAACCATGCCCATACCCTGGGGGAGCTGGAGGCCTGCATTGCCATGCTGGTGGAGCAGCTGAGGACTCAGGGCTGCGGTGGGAGGACCCTGGGGACCTCTGAGGAGGAGGTCAGCAGAGCCTAGAGATCAAAGGCTGGAGCAATTCTAGAGGATCTCACAGCTGGAAGGGTCTGAGGGATTGCAGCCAAGTCTTGTGCCTCATTCCCAGATGAGTAAACCAAGGCCCAGAGGGAGGTGATTTCCTCTGATTTAAATTTAATAAGAAATATTTTGGTTGCAAATTAAAGGATCCCACCTCAAATTAGCTTGATTGCAAAACAGATATTGGAACATGGAGCTGAGAAGAAGATGGTCTGGGCTTCAGGCACAGCTGGGTCCAGGGACTCAGACCAGATTGTCTCCATCTATCTGCTGTGTTTTTCTGTAGGAGGTGGCCTCACTTTCCCCTAGTTCAAAAGGGCTTACTCCATATGATGGGGGAAGGGAAGACAGGACCATGAACAGCCCTAGACTTCCATCAGCCCACCTGGGAAGCCCTCACAGGAAAATGAGTCTCATTCCTAGTACATGAAATCTCAGGGAGGAACTCCGATTGGCCACCTCAGTCATGTGCCCGTCCCTGGGCCAATCCCTGTGGTGGTGGGGCGGGTTCAGTGATTGGCACTGCCACCAAAGTCAGATGAAGTGGAGCAGGGGCAGTTTCCCAAAAGAAAGGAAGTGTGGTAGGAAGAAGAGGGAAAGGGGGGCCGAGCATCCAGCTGTCTCCATTTCAATACGACCACTTCGCATTTCTCATTCTCTCTACTCCATAGGAAAGTCTCTATTCCACAGTAGCCAAGTGTGCAATGCTGTTGAAAGTTGTCATTTCACTAAGCCCTAGCCCACTGTGCTTTTACAAACTGGTTTTGACATAGTTTTATATTTATACATCTGAAATTCTAAGTCTGTACTGCTTTTTACTTATATATGGCCTGATGAAGTCCTAGTTCCTTAAATAACTTTTTAAAAATGATACCAGCTGACTTGTACAACCCATGAACCACACGCTCGGTGCTGATGTGCTCTGTCTTATTTTATGTTCAAAGGGCCCAATGAGGTAGGAAACAGTTTGAGAGAGGTCAAATGGGCTGGGCTGGGAGCCCATGCCGCATCCACGCCAGTGTGCCCACCTTGAACCAAGGCAGCCACACCACTCCACCCTGAGGCCAGGGGTTGAGTCACTGGGGGCAGGAGGGAGCAGAGGGGCCTGTTTGGGCTCCAGCCTCTTAGTGCATGAAATCAGAGACCAAGACAGAAGGTAGCAGGCCCTGGAGCGCTGCAGTAGATTGGACAAAGACCAGGACTATGCAAACATTCTGCTGAAATGTGCAAAAGGAAACAAAGTTGAATGTCATTACAGGGCAAGCCAGTGTGGCTGCAGCTAAACCTTCCAGTGAGATCGGGTCTGCACCACCTCCAGCTTCTGGAACCCTTGCACCGGGATAGGGCCACCCCTCACTTACTCCCCAGAGAAGGCTGCTAACACCAAGTAGCATGGCATGGCGGTTATGTGCTGAAGCCAGACTGCCGGGATTCAAATCCTGACTCCATTTCCTGTGTGACCTTGGAAAAGTTACTCAACTTTTCTGTGCCTCGGTTTCCTCACCTGTGAAATGGGCATAATAATGGTACTATACACATGTATCAAACAGGTGAACACTTGTGGTGAGTGCTCAGCAAACATGCGCCACGGCTGTCCCTGTTTCTAGCACTCTTCTGTGTTGTGCAGGTCTCCTAAGTTGAAAGTTGTTTCTACATTTTCTCCACCACCGCTCTGGTTTCCTGGAGGCCTTGATCTTGCCTGCCCAGGCACCCCTCAGGAAAGTCATAGCCCTGTGGCTGGGGAGGGTGGAGTGTTGTGGGCCATCAGGAAATAAACTGGCAGTCACAAAGTTCTGAAGGGCATAGCCACCCCTTTTCTAAGAATATTTAAAGGAAACAGGGCTTGGAGGATCCTAAAATTAGCTGGCCTTCCAGTCACATCCCTAAAGAGCAGAGGCACTGGGCCTTCCCTCTTCCTGCCCAAGCCCAGGGTGGACCCTGAGTGCCCTCAGGCACCACACTTTCCACTGCTTCTCTTTCCCTCCATTGGTGCCAGGGGAAGGGAATGCCTCGTGCCTGGCATGCCTGCTTTAGAAGGCAGGGGCCACAAAACACTTTGTGACTGCCTGGCATCCTAGTGTTACTGGGTACAACTGACGGTTTAGGTGGCCCCCTGGCCAAGAGTGGGCCCAAGACTCCGACTGGGCCAACCACGCCCCTCTCCTGGGGCTCTCCATGCTGGGGGATGGGGATGGCTGGAGAGGGTCTTTCTCGGCTGTGGCTCTTGGATAAGAGGCTTGGGACACTCCCACTGTCTCAACCCTGTCCCATTCCTGAGGTTCTCCAGCTGCTAGTCCATTCTGGGATCTGCCCACTAGCCTGCCATAAATTTCCTCTCTGTGTAAGCTAGCCAGATTGGCTTCTGCAGCTTCCCACTAAACTTAATTTGTTTGAAAGAAACAAAACCAGAGAAGAGAAGGGAGAATGGAGTCCTTAGAGTGGGAAACAAAATATACAACTCTTACATCAGTCCAACCCGCTGTGTGGCTTTAGGCCACACACTCAGCTTCTCTGGGCCTCAGCACCAGCCTCGGGGAGATGGAGTAGTTGATCCTGCCACCTGGAAGGCTGGGAGAGGCCAGCAAAGTGAGCACTGAGCCCCTTCTCTTCCCAGGCAGAGTTGCAGCAGAAGGTGGAAGAGAATGAGCACCTGAGGCTGGAGCTGCAGATGGTAGAGACCGAGAGGGTGCGGCTGTCCCTGCTGGAGGAGAAGCTGGTGGACGTGCTGCAGCTCCTGCAGAGGCTCCGGGACCTGGTAGGCTCACGGGAGAGCTGCCACACTCAGGGAAGGGAAAGGAGCTCTTGGGAGGGAGCCCCACTTGTGTCAGGCACCAGGCTCTAGGCTCTCCTTACAGTAGGCAGCTGTTATCCCATTTTACAGATGCAGAAATGGAGGCTCAGAAGAACCAACCAAAAATAGGGTTGGGGGGCTCCCCAGGTCATTTTAAGAAGCTAATAAAACTCTTGTATGTATCCTTTTCTGGTTCTGTTCTCAAAACCAGAAAAGGATAAATGGAAGAAAGACAAGAAAGGAAAATTATAAACTAATGTGACATTTAAACATGGATGCAAAATTATTAAATACAATACTAGCAAACCAAATCTGGCAGTGTTTAAAGAAATGCAACATGACCAAGTTGGACTTATCCTACAAATTCAAGGATGATTCCACATCAAAAAATCTATTACCAAAATACACCACATTGCAGATTAAAGGAGAAAGACCAAATGATCATCTCAATTGATGCAGAAAAGGAAGTCAATAAAATTCAATCTCCTTTGATTATAAAACCCCTCAGCAAATTAAGAATAGTAGGGATCTTCCTTCACCAGATAAGGGCTCTCAACCAAATACTTCATGCAGATCTCACACTGACTGGTGACGTGTTCAGAGGAATCCCCCTAAAATCAGATGTGGCTGGGCCTGGTGGTGCATGCCTGTAATCCCAGCACTTTGGGAGGCCTAGGTGGGTGGATCGCTTGAGCTCAGGAGTTCGAGACCAGCCTGGCCAATATGGTGAAACCCCCACCTCTACAAAAAAAAAAAAAAAATTAGCTGGGCATGGTGGTGTATGCCTGTGGTCCCAGCTACTTGGGAGGCTGAGGTGGGAGGATTGCCAAAGTCCAGGAGGCAAAAGTTGCAGTGAGCTGAGATTGTGCCACTGCACTCCAGCCTGGGTGACAGAGTAAGACCTTATCTCAAAAAAAAAAAAAATTAAAATTAAAATCAGACTCAAGACAAGAATGCCTGTCATCACTGTTTTCATGTGAAGCAGAGGTTCCATCCAGTGCAGCAAAAGGAAAGAGAAAGGCTATAAGGACTAGAAAGAAAGCAAGACCCAGGTCTGTGGGGCTCTGAAGTGGGCTGTGCCCTGTGCATTGGGCTGCCTGGGACCCAGAGCTGCCGAGGTCCAGCCCAATGTCCACGTCCTAGGCAAGCAGAGACCTGGGGATGGGCCCCAAGAGGCCAATCCTAGCCCAGGCAGGCAAGGGCAGTGGTTCCCAGCAGAGGCCATAGGCCATGCAGCCTCACGGTAGATGATGCAGCCCCTCCACCTCCCAGCTGGGTGGCTTTGGCAAATTTCGCATTCTTTCCCAGCATTGCTTTTTTCTGCTGGTTAAAATGGGCATAATAAAATAAGTTGTTGCAAAAATCAAATGAGCAAATGCATTAAAATGCTCTTAGGGTTATTTCTCAGTGTCTACCTGGGCACAGATGGTAATCCTTAGGTACGTGATCTTTGATGGCATGGATCCTGCCCACTGCCCCACTCGCCCTCCAAGAGTCTCTGGGAAGTGCAGTGTGGCCAGCCTAGGGGTAGGGGGCCAAGAAGCGATGAGGGTGGGGGAGGAGCTTTATCTGTCCCCAGGGAGCTGCCTAGAAGCCCGTAGGGGCCACCAGTTCCCATCGGCTGAACAGGGACACAGCAACCAGTCTAATCCAGCCTTGTTTCCATTTCTTTTTAAGAACATATCGAAAAGAGCCCTGGGGAAGATTTTGCTGAGCACGCTGGACGCTTTCAGGGACCCCACCCACGGTAGGAGAGCACCCTAGTCTCTCAGAGCCCACGCAGTGGCTGGAGGGTGTCCTGAGGAGGAGACTCCAGTGTGCTTCATGCTTAGCATCTTGTCTGCAAAACAATCATGTTATTCCTGCCCTGCATGCTTTAGAAAGCTGAAGGGGCTTTTAGCAAGAGCAGAGGCACAGAAGCCCCAGGCAGAAGTGCCAGACAGAAGCCCAGTGAGGGGATGGGTGGGCGCCACCGGCAGCACTGCAGCCACATGCGGGGGAGGTGCCCCAAGGGTTTTTAAACCCCTGAATCCTTACAATGGCCCTAGAAGGAATGAGTTGTTATCCCCTTTCCACAGAGGAAGAGACTGAGGCACAGGGGTCAAGTGCTGGCCACGCCCGAGGCTGGGGCATCTCCCTTAAGCACTCAATAACATGGACCCGGTGTTTAGACGAAGCTCAGGGAGCAGAACAGCAGGAATGCCAGCTTATGCCTGGGGCAGCCAGGCCGAGCTCCTGCCTCACGGGTCTTCACAGGCTGACAAGGCAACCAAGAGCCCTTTGCTCGCTGTCCTCCCCAGGCACCACTGGGCAGAGCTCAGATGCACCCACTGCCCTGAGCAGTCCCTGCCCTCATGGAGGAGATCAGAAATTGTGTGCTCCAAGTCCCCTCTCCAGGGTCCTCAGGGGGAGGTGGTCCACAGAGCGAGGAAGCTGGGCAGGGCTGGGGAGGGGCACAGCGGGTAAGAGTGGCTGGGTCTCAGGAAGGAGGGACAGTGGCTCTGTGGGTGAAGGTGAGCAGACTGATCCTGCCCTCCCTGCCTGCTGTTTCCCTCCAGAGGGAAGGCCCAGCCCTGCAGCCATCCTGGATGCCCTGCACCAAGCCTTGGCTGCCTGCCAGCTGTTGCGGAGACAGCCCTCGGCACCAGCCTCTGCAGCAGCTGCGCTCACCAACCCCCTCCTCGTCTCCTGCTGAGGTTACTGGCCCACCCTGTGGGCACCCTGCTCAGCCTGACTGCCTTTGGACCAGCCTCCATGATCAGCCCAACCACTGACAGCTGGTCTGACCACCGTCACATCATCAGAACTTGAGTCTCTGCTGGCTCCTTCCAAGGTTAAGCCCGAGCCCAGAGCCTCCCATTGCAGCACCTGGCAGCCACCCCTTCCTCGGGCTCCTCCACATTACCTCGCAGCCCCTGCATTCCTGCCACCAGAGTCCACATTAAAGCCCTGCAGTTGCTGGATCAGCCTGCACCTGATGCTGTATCTTTCCCCTGCCCTCAGGGCAGAGATGCCCACTTTCTGACTGAGTCTGACCCCAAATCTCTTCCCCAGAGTTTCAGGATCTCCTCCCCTCCCAGCACTGTCTCCTTCCTCCCACTGGCATGCCTGCTGCAACGGAGACTGGGCCCAACCTTTGGGATACCTGGTCTGTAGGAAAGCACTCCACACCCCAGGAAATGTTGATGACTAGGAAAGGCTGAGGGAATTCCAAGGAAGGAACAATCACTGTAGGCTCCCTGGTAGAAGCTGGCCTTGAACCAGCTCTAGAGGACAGGTAGGATTTAGACAGGTAAAGAAAGGAGGGAAGGGCATAGAATCTAAGGTAATGGCAAGAGCAAAGGTGTGGAACCAGAGGGGGGCCCCAGGAATGCAGTGCTTGGAGCCCCTGCTCCTGAACACGCATTAACTCCTGAACTGCGAGCCCCTCCTCCTGAACTGCGTCATGGGGTTGCAGGAAGGAGTAGGCCAAGATACCCAGTCTCACCTAACTTAGACTGTCATTAGAGAGAAAGATCCATTGCCAAACAGTGCCATGGGGGTGAAACCAGTGCTAAATGGAGGTAAAATAAAGTTTGTAAGAGCCCAACCACCAGGGGTCTTTCCGAGCCTCGGGATGCCTGGGGAAACTGCAGGAGTCAGGGGAATCCAGTCTGCTCTGAACCTTGGTGGGGAGGGGCAGGGGCAGAGGAGGAGGTGGAGGGAGGGCCGCAAAGATTATGGGTTTCACGGAACCACTGCAAACGCCTCAGCAGGGAAACACAGGCCCAGCAACTTTCAGATGGTTCCTCTGGAAATGGAATAAAAGAGACCAAGGCCAGTGGCCACCACAGAAAGGCCATGCCCACCCCTGGTCCAGCCAGATGGGACCGGCCCCAGGACCCCTGGGGCCATGTGCAGAGCTGGCCCCGGGGAGGTGGTCTGAGCAGGCAGGGATGCGCCCAGCTTGCTCCTCGCATCTCCGCGGAGTCCACCAGCCCTGCACCTCAGGCTCTGTGCTGCCTACGGGACCCAGGCCAAGCAGGCTCCCATGTGTCCCAGCTCGGTCACAGGGCCAGCTGTTCTGTGTCCTGATCATGGTGGTGGCTACATGAACCTACACATGGGTTAAAACTCACTGTGGACGTATATGAGAGTTCAAAGCTCTCATATGGGTTCCTTTGTCATTTTTTGGTAGTTCTATCAGTTTTTGCCTCACATATTTGCCACACTCTTATTAGGTGTATACACATTAGGGATTATTACGTCTTTTTGGAGAATTGACTTGTTTATGATTAGTCTGCTCTGTCGGAAATTATTACAGCTACTTCAGCTTTCTTTTTTGTTCTTTTTGTGTGTATGTGTGAGACAAAGTCTCACTCTGTTGCCCAGCTTGGAGTGCAATGGCGCCATCTTGGCTCACTGCAACCTCTGCCTCCCGGGTTCAAGCGATCCTCCCACCTCAGCCCCCCAAGTAGCTGGGACTACAGGCGCACAACACCATGCCTGCTTAATTTTTGCATTTTTAGTAGAGACAGAGTTTCGCCATGTTATCTCACAGGGCACCTCATCACAGGGGTACTCTCACACTTTTGCGAGTTTTACCTCCAGGAGTTTTACTATGTTCTCATGGTGAAAATAGAAGAAAAAGTCCCCTCGTGCTTCTGGCAGGAACAGGGGAAAGTAACCATTTAAAAATATGCCAGGACATTCTGTGCTTTTTAACAAAGCCTACCATCAAAAGAAACTATTTTATCAGGGCCTAACCCACTAGGGTTTTATTAGAGCCTAATCAAACTGGGGGAAGAGAAATACCCAACTCCATTCCCTTCAGCCATCCTGTCCCACCTAAGAGAAAGAAAACCTTAGAAGTTCACAGCCCAGGGCCCAGGCTCACTAGAAGACTGAGATCTAATCATAGGACTATAGAACACATCCCTTCCCACCACACCTTCCCACCACATCACTAAAGGCCTCTTTACCTATGGGTAAAAGGTAAAAGTTCCTTTTACCCGGTGCAGCATGCCTGCCTTTTAGCAAAAAATGCAAGGCAGACTAAAAGGCAAAAAGCACAGTTTGAAGAACAGAGCAAGCATCAGAATCAGACCCAGCTATATGGCAGGGATGTTGGAATCATCAGGCTATGAATTTAAAACAACTGTGATTCATATGCAAGTGCTCTCTTGGAAAAAAGTCGACAAATGTAAGAACAGATGGGTAATGTAATCAGAGAGGTGGAAATTCTAAGAAAGAATCAAAAAGAAATGCTAGAGCTGAAAAACACGGTAACAGAAATGAAGAATGCCTTTGATGGGCTCATTAGCAACTAGGACACAGCTGAGGAAGGAATCTCTGCGCTTGAGAATATGTCACTAGAAACTTCCAAAACTGAGAAGCAAAGAGGAAAAAAGACCGAGGAGTGTGGGGGAAAGAGCAGAATATCCAAGAACTGCGGGACATCTACAAAACCTATAACATGCACAGTGAGAGTACCAGAAAGAGAAGAAAAAGACAAAGGAACACAAACCATGTTTAAAGTAATAATGACTTAGAATTTCCCCGAATTAATGTCAGACACAGATCCAGGAAGCTCAGAGAACACAAGTAGGTTACATGCAAAAAAGAAAAGAAAAAAAAAAACTACACCTAGGCATCGTACATTCTAACTTCAGAAAATCAATGATAAAGAACACACCTTGAAAGAAGCCAGAGGGAAAAATAACACCTAACCTATAGAGGAACAAAGGTGAGACTTACATCAGCCTTCTTTTCAGAAGCCATGCAAACAAGAAGAGAGTGGAATGAAATAGTTAAAGTGTAGAGAGGAAAAAAAAATACACCGAGAATTGTGTATCCTGTGAAATTATATTTCGAAAGTGAAGAAGGAATAAAGACTTTCATCAGACAAACAGAAATTTAGGGAATTTGTTGCCAGTACACCTGGCTTGCAAGAAATGTTAAAAGAAGTCCTTTGGAGAGAAGGAAAATTACACAGGTCCAAAATCTGGATCTATATAAAGAAAGGAAGAGCTTTAGAGAAGGAATAAATAAAGGTAAAATAAAAACTTTAACTTTTCTTATTATTTGATCTAAAAGACAACAGTTTGTTAAAAATATTAATAGCAACAGTGTAGGCAATTATTATAGTTGACATACAAGTGAAAGGGATGACAGCAATGATACAAGGGATAGGAGAGAAGAACTAGGAATATTTTGTCATTATAAGGTATTTGTACTACCCATAAGCAATACAGTATTATTCGAAAGTGGGCTGGCCAGGCATGGTGGCTCACGCCTGTACTGCCAGCACTTTGGGAGGCTAAGACGGGCAGATCACTTGAGGCCAGGAGTTTGAGACCAGCCTGGACAACATGGCGAAACCCTGTCTCTACTAAAAATGCAAAAATTAAGCAAGCATGGTGTTGTGCGCCTGTAGTCCCAGCTACTTGGGGGGCTGAGGTGGGAGGATTGCTTGAACCTGGGAGGCAGAGTTTGCAGTGAGCTGAGATGGCATCGCTGCACTCCAAGCTGGGTGACAGAGGGAGACTTTGTCTTAAAAAAAAAAAAAAAAAGGAAAGCTGAAGTAGCTGTAATAATTTCAGACAGAGCAGACTAATGATAAACAAGTCAATTCTCCAAAAAGACATAATAATCCCTAATGGGTATACACCTAATAAGAGTGTGGCAAATATGTGAGGCAAAAACTGATAGAACTACCAAAAAAATGAATTCACTATTTTTGTTGGAAACTTCAACAACCTCTATCAGAAAGGGACAGATCCAGATCCGGCAGGCAGAAAATCAGTAAGGACATAGTTGAACTTAAGAGCACCATATGTCAACTGGATCTAAATGACGTGGATAGAATACCCAAGAACAGCAGAATACACATTCTCCTGAAGCTCACACAGAGCCTTCACCAAGATAAACCACATTCTGGGCTATAAAACACGCTTTAACAAATTTAAAAGAATACAAATCATACGATGGGCTCAGATGACAATGGAAGTAAACTGGATATCAATAATAGAAAGATAGCTAGAAAATCCCAAAATTCTCGGAGGTTAAACAACACACTTCCAAATAACAAATGGGTCAAAGAGGGACTCTTAAGAGAAATTTTAAAATACTGTGAACTAGGCTGGGTGCGGTGGCTCATGCCTATAGGCCCAGCACTTTGGGAGGTGAAGGTCGGGGGATCACCTGAGGTCAGGAGTTCCAGACCAGCCTGGCCAACATGGTGAAACCCAGTGTCTACTAAAAATACAAAAATTGGCCAAGTGCAGTGGTGCATGATTGCAATCCCAGCTACTCTGGAGGCTGAGGCACGAGAATCACTTGAACCCCAGAGGTGGAGGTTGCAGTGAGGAGAGATCACACCACCGCACTCCAGCCTGGGCCACAGAGTGAGACTCTGTACCCCCGCCACAAAAAATACTGTGAATAAAATAAAAATAAAAATACAGTGAAGCAAAATTTGTGGAATGCAGCAAAAGCACTGCTTAGAGGAAAATTTATAGCCCTGAATGCATATATTAGAAAAGAAAAAATATCTAAAATCAATAATCTAACCTTCCACCTCATTAAACTATAAAAAGAAGGGCAAATTAACTCCAAAGTAAGCAGAAGAAAAGAAATAATAAAAATTAGAGCAGAAATCAATGAAATTAAAAACAGAAAATCAGAGAGAAAATCAGCAAAACCAAAAGCAAGTTCTTGGAAAATATCAGTAAAATTGATAAGCCTCTAGCCAACCTAATTAAAGAAAAAAAAGAAGATACAAATTGCTAATATCAGAAATGAAAGAGGAACATCACTACAGAGCCCACAGACATCAAAAGGATATTAAAGGAATACAATGAAGCATCTATGCCACAAATTTGGTAATCTATGTTTAATAGATCAATTTCCTGAAAGACACAGTCTGCCAAAACTCATATAAGAAGAAACAGGCTGGGCGCGGAGGCTCACGCCTGTAATCCCAGCACTTTGGGAGGCCGAAGTGGGTGGATCACGAGGTCAGGAGATTGAGGCCATCCTGGCTAACACGGTGAAACCCCGTCTCTACTAAAAAAAATAAAATAAAATTAGCTGGGCATGGTGGCGTGCGCCTGTAGTCCCAGCTACTCGGGAGGCTGAGGCAGGAGAATGGCGTGAACCCATGAGGTGGAGCTTGCAGTGAGCCGAGATCGCGCCACTGCGCTCCAGCCTCGGCAACAGAGCGAGACTCCATCTCAAAAAGAAAAAAAAAAAAAAAAAAGAAGAAGAAGAAGAAACAGATAATCTGAATAGGCCTCTATTAAAGACTTTAATAATTAATAATCCTCCAAAACAGGAAGAACAGGCCCCGATGAGTACACTGGTGAATTCTACCTGTGAACATTAAGGAATAAATTATACTAATTCTCCACAATCTCTTGCAAGAGATAGAAGCAGAGGGAATGCTTTCTAACTCATTCTATGGGGCCAGCATGACCCAATACCAAAACCCAACAAGACATTACAAGAAAAAAAAACTACAATTTGCTCCGGCGGAAGTGAGGAGCAGGCCTGGGCCCTAAGGGCCGGGCCTCGACCCCCCGCAGGTCCCCGCGGTCCCGGTCCCCCGCCCGGGACATCTGATGGACCGAGCCGCGCCCCCGCGGAGCACCACTTCGGAGGCCTGAGAGCGGCGACCGGGCAGGGCGTGGCCTACATCCCGGAGCCTCGCGCCTTCTCCTGCGCCGACTTCTGCAGGGCCTCCGGCTGCTCGAGCCGCCCTGCGCTGCTCCCGCGCCTGCACCCGAGGCTGGGGCAGCGGCGGCGCTGGGTGACGCCGGAGGGGGCGCCCGACTTGAACCAACTGCGGCGGACCCGGGAGCCGGGGTCCAGGAATACAGCCCGAACCCCAAGAATACAACCCGAACCCCAAGAGTACGTGCCCCTCAGAGACTGCAGCGGCTGCTGAGAGGAGCACATCCAGGGCGGCTACTGCCCCAAGGGGTCGCCACCTCTGGGACTGGCATCCGTTCAGGGGCCCTCGGCAAGGGACATGTCCGCCCGGCCGTGCGCCTCCCGGCCCAGGGCGCGCTGGACGTGGACGCCCCTCGCCTGGTCTGCGCTGGCCCTGCGGGCAGCTGGACCTGGTTCCGCGCCCACGCCTTCCGCTCCTCCAGCTGGTCCCGCAGCTGGTCCCGCAGCGCCGGCGGACAAGAGAAGTGGCTCCTCGTCCCCAGGTGCGCGAGGAGGCCCTGGGGACTCCCGCGGCTGCCTGCCCGACGGCCGGACCTCCCGGGCACTCCCGACGCGCCTGCACCCGCGACTCCAGCTCGCGGCCTGCCCTGGAGCTCACGCGCAAGGTGGGCGAGATGGTGCTGATGCCAGTGTGGGGCACCACCGGGTTCACAACCTGCTAAGGCCGAGGTACGTCCCGGCCACCCAGGCCTGGAGCTAGAGTGTGCGCCCGCCTTCGACCATGGGCCCTTCCGCAGGAAGAGGGCAGCGCCCCTCCAGACTGTCCCTCCACTAGGAGGCGTCGCCGGGGCCCCGGCCTTTGTTTCACCCTCGCGCGCTCCTTCTCCGGCATACTCGCTCTGGGTCCGCCGCTGCCGCTCATCATGAGGTCCTGCTCGGGCATCAGCTTGGAAGAGCTTTACCACTTCCCCAGGGTTCTCACTGAGAGGCAGCTCCTAGTCCTGGGGGAGGCGGCGGGGGAGGATGAGGCCTGGCCGGGCCCGAGCAGATGGCCTTCGTCGTCGGGGCACGGCGGAGGTAGGTGTTGGCCTCCATGCTCTCGCAGTGCGACTTCCAGAGAACCGGCAGCGACCGCTGGGAGGAAGGGAGGCCGCCTCCCGCTCCGGGGCCCCTCCGGAAAGAAAAACCGCCCTCCAACCCCCGTGGACTGCAGCCCCCACCTCTCCAGTGAGGCCAGGACATCTGAGCAACGGGTGTCTGGGTTGCCTGCTCTGGAGGCCCCTCTGTGCGGCCAGCTTCGTCCCTTTGTCCCAGGCGGTCACCTCCAGCTCTGCCCCGTGGGCTCAGGGAGGACTTGGGCGCGGTGCTGCGGACCCACGCCGGCCTGTGCTGCACTGGGCGTGCCCGCCAGGACCTTGAGGCAAGGGTGGACTGGCTGGTCCTCCGGGCGGTTGGCTGCAGAGCCAGCGGCCTGGGCCTTTGTTCCCCATCGTCCCCGACAGGGCTGGGCCCTGCTGCCGCTGAGCAGGGGCTGGCAAAGAGCCTGCTCCACTGCCACCTCCCCGCCCGCAGGGAAGCCTGGCACATCCTCTGCCTCCTGGCCTCTCCTCACTGAATCCTCTGCCTGGGCGTGGAGGGGCTATGCCTGCTGTTTGTTGTACTCACTGCATACAGTAGGTGCTGCATAAGTCCCTGCGGGAGGAGGAAACGCACGAGTCTGTCCTCCCCTGCCCAGCTTCCGCAGGGCTTTTATGGCTCATCAGAGAGGCCTTGTTTGCCGCGTGGCCAAGTCTTCCCAAGGATGCTGTTCTCAGGACTGCAGATTCAAGTCTCTGGTCCCATGGCATGCTGGGCAAGACTGAGGTGTGCACCCGGCTGCTCTCCACGCCCCATCCTGGGACCCCATCAAGGCATGGGCAGGCGAGCAGCACTGGGATGTGTGGTGGGGCCATGGGCTCTCAAGTGGCCCCATCCACAGCTCTGTGAGTCGTCCCTCCTGCAGGGGATATCCCAGACCTCTACCTCTACCTGGATTCACAAGATGTGGGGGCTGGGATTCTGCCAGCCCCACCCTCTCCACCCAAAGTCCACACATTTTTTTAGCTGGCCCTGGGTGGCAGTCCCCACCCCAGCAGAGGAGGATGCATTCAAATCTGAAGGAGTAGCACATGCCACATGCTGTGTGTCCCACCTGCCCAGTGATGTCCAGTGGGGCCGGCTGCTCCCAGCTGGGATGGAAGCCCCCAGGAAGACAGGGATTTCTGTCTGCTCTGTTCAGTGAATTATGCTAAGTGCCTGGAAAAGTGACTGTACACAGGAAAAAAAAACTAGACTAACATCTCTCATGAATATAGATGCAAAATGCTCAACAAAATATTAGCAACTCAAATCCAACAATGTATAGAAAGAAGTAAACACCACGACCAAGTGAGATTTATCCCAGATATGCAGCACTGTCCAATACTTGAAAATCAAGCAACCCATCACATCTACAGGCTAAAGAAGAAAAATCGCATGATCATGTCAATAGATGCAGAAAAAGCACGTGACAAAATCCAACATCCATTCAAGGTAAAAACTCCCAGCAAACTAGGAAAATAGAGGAACTTCCTCAACTTCATAAAGAACATCCACAAAAAAACCCCACAGCTAACAATACATGGAATAGTGAGGAACTAGATGCTTTCTCAGTAAGATCAGGGACAAGGCAAGGATGTCCTCTCTCACCATTTCTTTTTCAGCATCATACTGGAAGTCCTAGCTAATGCAATAAGATAAGAAAAGGCAATAAAAGGTATAAAGATTTTCTACATAGATGACCATATCATCAGCAAAGTTGGAGAAAATCCAAAAGAATCGACAACATGTTACTGAAACTAATTAGCAACTATACCAAAGTTGTAGGATACAGGGTTCATACACAAAAGCCAATCACCTTTTTTTTTTTTTTTTTTTTTTTTGAGATGGAGTCTCACTCCGTCACCCAGGCTGGAGTGCAGTGGTGTGATCTTGGCTCACTGCAACCTCGGCCTCCCGGGTTCATGCCATTCTCCTGCCTCAGCCTCCCAAGTAACTGGGACTACAGGTGCCCATCACCACGCCCGGCTAATTTTTTTTTTTTTGTATTTTTAATAGAGATGTTAGCCAGGATGGTCTCGATCTTCTGACCTCATGATCCTCCCGCCTTGGCCTTCCAAAGTGCTGGGATTACACGCGTGAGCCACTGCGCCCAACCAAGCCAATCACTTTTCTATATACCAACAATGAACAAGTGGAATTTGAAATTCAAAATACAATACCATTTACATTAACACCCCCAAATACAAAATACTTAAGTATAAATATTTTAAAATATATGTATAAGCTCTATGTGAGGAAAGCTACAAAACTGTTATGAAAGAAATCAAAGAACGAAATAGATGGAGAGAGATTCCGTGTTTAAGAGCAAGAAGACTCAATATTGTCAAGATCTCAGTTCTTCCCAGCTTGATCTACAGACCAAATGCTATCCTGATCGAAATTCCAGCAAGTTACTTTGTGGATATTAACAAACTGATTCTAAAGTTTATATGGAGAAGCAAAAGACCCAAAATAGCCAACACAATATTTAAGGAGGAGAACAAAGTTGGAGGACTGACATGACCCAACCTCAAAGCTTATGCTAAATCTACAGTAATCAAGACAGTGTGGTATTGGTAAAAGAACAGACAAATAGATCAATGGAACAGAATAGAGAGCCCAGAAGTATACCCATAGTCAACTGATGTTTTTACAAAGGAACAAAGGAAATATAATGGAGAAAAATTATTTTCAACGAATGATGCTAGAACAACTGGACATCCAAATGGAAAAAAAAATTTAGATATAGACCTTACACTCTTAGGAAAAATTAACCCAAGGCCAGGCACAGTGGCTCACGCCTATAATCTCAGCACTTTGGGAGGCTGAGGCGAGTGGATGACCTGAGGTCAGGAGTTCGAGACCAGCCTCGCCAACATGGTGAAACCCCGTCTCTACTAAAAATACAAAAATTAGCCAGGCATGGTGGTGGGGACCTATAATCCCAGCTACTCGGGAGGCTGAGGCAGGAGAATCGCTTGAACTCAGAGCAGGGCAGGGGGAGGGGCAGGTGGAGGTTGCAGTGAGCCAAGATCACATCACTTCACACCAGCCTGGGCGACAGAGCAAAACTCCATCTCAAAAAAAAAAAAAAAGAAATGAGCTACCAAGCCATGAAAAGACATGTAGGAACCTTAAATGCATATTACTAAGTGAAAGAATTTAATCTTTAAAGGCTAAATATTATATGATCCTAACTGTATGACATTCTGGAAAAGGCAAAACTATGGAGACAGTAAAAGGATCAGTGGTTGCCAGGGATTAGGAGATGGGGAAGGATGAACAAGGGGGCCCAGAAGATTTTTCAGGGCAACAACACTATTCTGTATGATACCATAATGGTAGATATGTGTCATTAGACATTTGTCTCGACCCATAGAATGTCTGACTCCAAGAGTGGGCCCTCAGAAACTACGGACATTGGGCAATAATGGCATGTCCTTGTAGTTTCATCAGTAATAACATATGCCCCACTCTACTGGGGATGTTACTGATATGGAAGGCTGTGCATGTTGGGGGGCAGGGCGTGTATAGGAACTGACTTTCCACTCAATTTTTGCTGTGAACCCAAAATAAAGCCTATTTAAAAAGAAAAAAAGAAAGAACTAGAGAATGGATAGAGGCAGCCTCTTAGCTATCTCTGCACAGAGTCAGCCTAGTGTTGGGGCATCCTGGACCCTCTGAACGTCACTGGTTTGCAGCCTGGATGGCCTTCCCTTTTGCCCAGTGGGGAGAGGCTGAGACTTCTGTAATTTCAGCACCTTGGTGTTGGGTGTGACCTAAGCACCTGCCTGATGCCCTGCCCTGGCCCACAGCCGGCCTGCTGCTGTCAGCTCAGCATGAGCCTCAGAGTTCATGAGGGCCTCAGAGGACCAGGGGGCTTCCCTGGAGGAAAACCCAGATGAGGAGACCAAAGGCAGCGTCAACATTTGTGATTCACAGAGACCAGGCATGGGGCTTCTCCCACATCCACGTTTTACTGCTGGGGACACTGATGAGGACTCGTGCTCACAGCCACACAGCACAATAGCAGAGCCAGGACTCAGAGCTCAGCCCGGGTCACCCAAGCCCACACTCGAAACCACTCGACAAGGCTGCACCAAGATCAGCAGGCAGGGCCTGTACTGAGTGCCAAGCCCTGAGGCCACGGAAAGAGAGGGGGTAAGAGGGTGCAATTTCATAGAAAGATGGAGGTATGCCTTTGTCCACTGAGCTGAAGTCTGAGACGATGTCTCGAGGGAGCAAAACGGTGGCACCCAGGGAGCTGCAACCATGGGAAACATGGGGTCTCCTTTGGCCAGAAACAGAGTAAGCCAACAATTCCTGAGAAAGCTTCACCAAAAAAAGAACCTCCCCTGATATTTGGGTCCAAGAAATAGCCACGACTCTGACCTAAAAGGTTCCTGGCTGGGAGCGGTGGCTCACGCCTATAATCCCAGCACTTCAGGAGGCCAAGGTAGACAGATCACTTGAGGCCAGGAGTTCGAGACCAGCCTGGCCAATATGTCGAAACCCTGTCTCTACTAAAACTACAAAAATTAGCTGGGTGTGATGGTGCACACCTGTAGTCCCAGCTGGCTGAGACGCTGAGGCATGAGAATCACTTGAACCCAGAACACAGAGGCTGCAGTAAGCGAAAATCCCACCACTGCACTCCAGCCTGGGTGACAGAGTGAGACTCTGCCTCAAAAAAAAAAAAAAAAAAAGGTTCCTGTAACTTGAGGGTCCTAGGGACTACTAGTTACTAGTAACTAATTAATCCCTTGATTGATGCCTCTCCGTAAAGGTTAGAGCTTTATTTTCTGATAGAAGCCTTGCAGTTACTTGAATTTGAAAATTTCCTGTTAAGATATATGCACAAAGTCTCCTCCTTCAAGATGGGAAGCCTACATGTGAGCCCAGGAGTTCAAGATTACAGTGAGCCATGATTGCACCACTGCACTCCAGTGTGGGCAACAGAGCAAAACCTTGTCTCTTAAAAAAAAATCGTAAAGGCTCATTAACACTTTTCCCTTTGAAAGTGAGCTAGATAGACTTTATGACTCACCAATAAACAGAGTGTGGCAGAGTTGCTGGTGCAGCTTCTGAGACCAGGTCATAAGAGGCCTGGCAGCTCCCTCCTTGCTCTCCATCAGATCCCTTGCTTGGGGGAAAGATAGCTGCCCTGTGCAGAGAGCCACACGGAGAGTCACCGAAGTCTCCTGTCAATGGCCAGCAAGGAACTGAGGCCTCCTGCCAACAGCCACGACTCACATCTCAAAAGCGTCTCCTCCAGCCCAGGCCAAGTCCTCTGATGCTGGTCTCACTGGGCTGAGATCTTGACTGCAACAGCCAGAACCACCCAGCTAAGCCACTCCCAAGTTCTTGACCCACAGAAACAAGTGAGATAATAAGTAAATAAATGTCATTGTTGAGCTGGGCATGGTAGCTCACACCTGTAATTCTAGTGCTTTGAGAGGCTAAGGCAGAAAGATCACTTGAGCTCAGGAGTTTGAGAACAGCTCAACCTTCGGAGACCCCATCTCCAACAACAATAACAACAACAAATTAGCTGGCTGTGGCAGTGCATGCCTGTGATCCCAGCTACCTAGGAGGCTGAGGTGGGAGGATCTCTTAAGCCCAAGGGTTCCAGGCTGCAGTGAGCTAGGATCTCACCACTGCACTCCAACCTGGGTGACAGAGTGAGACCATGTCTCTAAAAAATTTAAAATAAATAAATAATTAAAATTAAAAATGCTATTGTTTGAAGCTGCTAGTTTTGGGGGATGGTTTGTCATGGAGCAGTAATAACAAATTTCCTAACAGAGACTCATGCTCCATCAGAGCATAGGGGCTACGCACATATGTCTGTGGCAGATTCTCGCAGTCCTCCACGCTACCCACTGAGCTGTCACAGGGAGCGCTGTGGCAGGCTTGTATGTTTACCAGTAACCATTGGAGCCCTGACAATAATCACTAGCAGGTTGGAAGGAGTACAAGGGTTCCCAGGCATGGAGCCAGCTGAAGGGGCACTCGTGGATGCAGAGATACAGGGGTCAGGGGAGTGCATACTTTTTCAGGCCCTGGGGTGGGGGTGAGGGGATAGGGTGCAGGGGCCCAGATAGTCAAAAGGCAAGGAGGTGCTGGGAGGGGCACCGCTTGTGGCCCAGGCTCCAAGTCCCCCATGCATGCCTACAGTCCCATCAGACTTCCCTTACAAAATACAAATTTAAAGATAAAATTGTTATGAATTTCAAGACAGCAGCCACAGAGCTTACAACCCCAGGCACAGGGCCCTTCTGAGCAGGGAGTCCCCTGCAGCTACCCCAGCCCCATGCCCACAAAGCCAGGCCTAGATGCATAGAGAGGCGGAGAGGGGCAGTCATCCTACAAGGTTTCAAAAAATAGGAGAATCGAACATTTATGCATAGACTTCACATCTTCCACTCTCCTTTAGCCTTTTTTCTATAAGAGCTTCTTTGGGATTGTTCAGATGGCCTGCAACACATTAAAAATGTTTTCTGGGAAATTCTAACTAATGTCCTCTCTCTCAACTTCTGGCAAAAAAAAGAAAATCATTCCATTGACCTTAATTTGCTCTCCCCACGGCAAAAAATGTCCTGTAATTTCACACTGTTTCCACTGGGTGGCAAATGCTGTCCCTGAGAGGAAAAATGAATGGTAAACGGTTCCAAAGCGCCTCCAAGCATGAGCTCCGGGAGTCCAAGTTTAACTTCTCCGAATGAACCCCTGCCCCCTCACGGCCCCTGCCGTGGGTATTTGCCACATCTTCCCATCATCTGTGCTATTACCTGTGTTAAAACACACACACACACACACACACACACACACACACACACACACACACACACGTATACATTTAGAAGAAGAGAAGCCTTTATTTCCTGTAAAAGGTGCCAGCCTACAAGGTGGCCATCTGCAGGCTGGGAAGTGTGCCAATGGCCGAGCACTTTGAAAGAGGAGGGGTTGGGGCAGGAGCTTTATGCTGACCTGTCTGGCTAAACATACATATTCAACTGGCTACAGGAGGAGCTATGAATATTCATAAAGGCACTGTGCCTCCTATCTGTAATCCTAGCATTTTGGGAGGCTGAGGCAGGAGGATTGTTTGAGCCCAGGAGCTAGAGACCAGTCTGAGCAACATAGTGAGATTCCATCTCTACCAAAAATACAAAATTAGCTGGGGTAATGGTACGTGCCAGTGGTCCCAGCTACTTAGGAGGCTGAGGTGGGAGGATCACTTGAACCCAGGAGGTTGAGGCTGCAGTGAGCCAAGATTGAGTCACTGTACTCCAGCCTGGGTGAGAGAGCCTGTCACAAAAACAAAGAAAAAAATAGTCATGGCCGGGCGCAGTGGCTCACTCCTGTAATCCCAGCACTTTGGGAGGAAGAGGTGGGCAGATCACAAGGTCAGGAGTTCAAGACCAACCTGGCCAACATGGTGAAACCCCATCTACTAAAAATACAAAAATTAGCTGGGTGTGGTGGCACGCGCCTGTAGTCCCAGCTACTTGGGAGGCTGAAACAGAAGAATCGCTTGAACCCGGGAGGCAGAGGTTGCAGTGAGCCAAGATCACGTCACTGCACTCCAGCCTGGCAACAGAACAAGACTCCGTCTCAAAACAAAAAAAAAGAGTAGTCATTAAGGTGTTCCTAACACATTCATATTGAACAAACACTTAGGTGTTCCTAACAAATTCATATATGACCCATGTTTGCTCTGGGGTGGAGACTGAACATATAAACATATTACAGTTAGGCCCTATATGTCAAAA
This sequence comes from Homo sapiens, assembly GCF_000001405.40. Lineage (NCBI taxonomy): Eukaryota > Metazoa > Chordata > Mammalia > Primates > Hominidae > Homo > Homo sapiens. The sequence goes on from NC_000003.12 coordinate 129,054,700, forward strand.
GGCTTTTCAGGACACAAAGGCACTCTGTGCGCAACCTCTGTAAACAGGCTGGGGTGGACCATGGTCAGTGGTCTTCTTATCTGGAGAAAGTTATTGAAATCAGTCTCTTGCAGTTATGGCTGGTGGAACAGGAGTTGGGGGTCAGTTAGTCACATCTGGTGGAACTGCAAATTGTTTCAGTATTGCTTATCTCAAGGCCAGTGTTTGTTTAGCTGCTAGAGAAAAAGAAAAGCCTTGTGGCAGTGAGAACAGGTTCATTCTTTAAGTGTGGGGTGACTGACTTAACCCTTGCCTGGCATGGCCTTAGGTTCTGTTTATAATTTAGCGTCTTATTTGCCACAAAGAGTCGGTCATGTCAGTCTTACTATCTCTATTTTGTCTATCTCTATTTTAACAGTAATGCTGGTCAGTTGTTGTGTCTGAAGCACAAAAAGGAGGAGGTATAACGAGGCTTCTGACCTCCTGTCCTGTCGTGGCTGGAAGCTCAGTTTTAAAGTTTTTCTGGGGTCCCCTTGGCCATAAAGGGGTCCATTCAGTTTGGCAGGGGCTTATAATTTTATTTTTAGTTTACACTTAATATTTTTCTTAGAATCAGTTCTCTTTTTAAATGTATATAAATGTATTTTAAGAAAGAAAGTTTGTATGCTCGAATTTAATTGAGAAACCAGTCTCACCTGTCATACACACAAACTAACATCACAATAAGTTCATAGCAAATAAAGCATCATCATTCATTTCTGACCAGATACAGCCACTGAGCTGAAGGGCCAGACAGCAAGGCTGAGAGGCAGGTCGAAGTCCCATGGTTAGGGCTTTCAGCTGGGGAGGGGTATCTTTGTGCCAAGCTAGACTGTGTTTAATCCTTTTAATCACAAGAGACAAAAATCCTCAGACACGAGAAGGTACGTCAAAGGGTGTGAGGGCCCCCTTTCTTTTCTTTCTTTCTTTCTTTTTTTTTTTTTTAAGACAGAGTCTTGCTCTGTTGCCCAGGCTGGAGTGCAATGGTACAATCTCGGCTCACTGCAACCTGCGCCTCCCAGGTTCAAGCGATTCTCCTGCCTCAGTCTCCCGAGTAGCTGGGATTACAGGCGCGTGACACCACGCCCAGCTAAATTTTGTATTTTTAGTAGAGAGACAGTTTCATCATGTTGGCCAGGCTGGTCTTGAACTCCTGGCCTCAAGTGATCCGCCCACCTCGGCCTCCCAAAGTGCTGGGATTACAGGCGTGAGCCATCACGCCTGGCTGTCAGGCCCCCCTTTCTTCCCTGACAGTGTGCCAGTGGCCCCTGCCCATGATGACTTCCACAGTGCCTGCTGTGGCCAGACCCCCAGCAAAGCACCTGTCAGGCTTATCTCACTCTTTCCTCACAGCAGTCTGGGAGGTGGGGTCTTTGATTTTCCCCATTCTGCAGATGAGGAAACTGAGGCAGAGATAGGCTAAGACTATTGCCCAAGGTCACAGAGCAAGTAAGTAGCAAAACCAGGTTTCAGAGCAAGGCAGGCTGCTCCACAGGCTGGCTCAGAACAGCCGGGGTGACGGAGACCTGCATCTGCAAAGATCCAGCAAGCAGAGGCTCTGTTCCAAGGGGGTCCAACAGTGGCAGACAGGGTTACCCATTTCCTGTTGGTTGCACACAGGCTAAAAATGCTACCTAATAATCACTGCCTCTTAATCCCCTCTGCTTCCCATGAGAAGGAAAAATTGTCTTGGGGGATATTGAAAGATCCCAGCCTCCAAAGTAAGTTTACCTAAGCAGTTTGCCTCATAATACGATTACCAAACAGAGGCTGTTTCCTTCAGCTCAGGGGACAAGAAAGGAGTGGCTGTCTCCCTCATGTTTCTCGTTATTTGTGTCATAGGCATGTATCACCTGAAATTGCCTGAGAGGCTCAACCAACTTTTAGTCACAAGATCTGCGAACACTTCCCTAGTGGGTGCTGAGGTTCTCCAAGGAGCTGCTGGGCCCATTTGCAAACAGATAAGCAAACGGCTGGGTGAGTGCGTCGAGGAGGGCTTCCCGTAAGAAGTTATGCCCCCGGTGAATCTTAAAGGATGCAGCATGCCAGGCAAAATTCCACAGGGCTCCAGAAAGAGGGCAGTGCAGAGGCAAAAGCACAGACAGAAGTTGGCATGTGGGTGGGGAGTGAGGGACATGGCTAGCCTACCACGAAGCTTCAGATCAGGAAGAGATGAGAGGTGAGGCTGGACAGGGTGGCAGAGGGTGTCCTGAAGACAGCAGGGAGCCATGAAAGACATGGAGCAGGAGTGTAGTGAGATTAAACCTGTATAGTAGAGGCAGAGGCCAGCATCAAGGAGACAGCAGTCCTGGCAAGACACAGATAAGGCCAGCACTAGAGAAGAGACAGCCAGCAAGGCTGACAAGTATGTATTAGATAATGCCCATGGGCCAGGCAGAGGTGCTGGGGAGGGAAGAGTTAATGGGACAGAGTCTCTGCCCTCTTGAGTTTCACATCAATGGGAGGAGACATTTAATAAACACATAAAAATGTAAAAATAAGATCATTTCAGATCCTGATCAATGCTAAGGAAGATATGAAATGGAATATTATGGTACAGAAGGATGGAGCTGTGCCTTGGCAAGGGAGGCCTTTGAGGAGGGGTCATCTGAATTGAGATGAGAATGATGATCAGGAGGAAGCCATGTGGGGCTCTGGGGGAAGGGCACTCCAGGCAGAGGGAACAGCAAGTGCAAAGGCCCTGAGGCAGGAAAGTGCTGGAGTGTTTGAGCAACAGGAAGAAAATTGGTGTGGCTGGACATTGATGAGCAAAGTAGACAGTGGGTGATGGGGTCAAGAAATAGGCAGGGGCCAAGCTACAGGGGGGCCTGTAGCTTCCTGACCACAGGGGCACGGGTTTTCTTTTATTTGCGATGGGAAGCCAAGAAGGCGAACGAAGACCAGAGCAGTAGCAGCACAGGGAGAAGTGGTTAAGTTCTGAATAGATCCTGGTGACTGAAATGACAGGAATTACTGATGGGTTGGACAGCAAGTAGAAGTGACTCTTCAGAGGAGTTTTATGGAAGAGAGAAGCAGAAAAATCAGATGGTAATTGGAGAAAGAGGTGGAATTAAGGAAGGATTTTTCAAAAGGGCAGGATTATAGGTTGCTTCTTTTTTTTTTTTTTTTTTTTGAGACGGAGTTTTGCTCTTGTTGCTCAGCCTGGAGTGCAATGGCGCGATCTCAGCTCACCACAGCCTCCGCTTCCTGGGTTCAAGTGATTCTCTTGCCTCAGCCTCCCAAGTAGCTGGGATTACAGGCATACACCACCACGCCCAGCTAATTTTGTATTTTTAGTAGAGATGGTGTTTCTCCATGTTGGTCAGGCTGGTCTCGAAACCCACTTTAGGCAGACCTAAAGTGATCTGCCTGCCTCAGCCTCCCAAAGTGCTGGGATTGCAGGCGTGAGCCACCGCGCCTGGTCTGGCTGCTCCTAACCTGATGGAATGACCCAGTGAAGGAGAAATTGATCATGCAGAGGAAGGGGCACCTGATGGGGCAATGTCCTGGAAGGATGGAGAGGGGACAACTCACAGCACAAGAGTGGGGCTTGGCCTTCGCCTTGGTTCCTATTGCTGCTGTCACAAGAGGCTTAATGCAGCACACATTTATTTTCTCATTCTTCATCACACAGCTCCTGTGGGTTCTCTTATTCCAGCCCTCCTGAGGTAGATCAGCAGGACCTGTTTTCTGAGCACCTGTCAGGACCCCCGGTCCCCAGCCTGCTGATGGCAGCAGGATCTGGTTGAAACAAGGTGTAGTGAAGAAGCTGGCAGACACCAGAAACCAGCAGATGGGAACGAAAGCAACCGCTAGTTGCCCTCACTGCTCACTAACATAGACACTCCCCCTGGCACCATGGTAGTTTACAAATGCCATGGCAGCACGCCATGGCAACAACCTGAAAGTTACAGGGTTCTGGAAACTCACCACCCCTTTTCTAGAAAGTTTGAAATAACCTGCCCCTGAATTTGCATGTAATGAATAGTGGCTGTAAGTGCAGTTGCCAAAAGCCCACACACTACTGCTCTGGGCACACTGCCTGTGGGGTAGCCCTGCTCCCAGAGAGCAGCACCTCTGCTATGCACTGCTGCTTCAATAAAGCGGCTTTCTTCACCACTGGCTCTTTGACTTCTTTCCTGGCCAAAGCCAAGAGCCCTCAGGGGCAAAGCCCTGATTTGGGGGCTCACCTGCCCTGCATCACTTGTAGGTGGAAATCAAGCTGCTGGCAGGGCTGCATTCCTCTCTGGAGGCTCTGGGAGAATCCACTTGCAGGCTCACCCAGGCTGTTTACAGATCCACTTCCTGCATTATCCTGTGCCTCTTGGGCAGATGGGTATGTATTTACCCATATGGGTAAATACACATGGGGAAAAAGCCTTGCCTGATGTTGGGATGGAGGGAAATTTTTATTTTCTTCTTCCAGTTCATCTGAACATTCTAATTTCCCACAACAAAAATCATTTATTTGTTATTTATGTAGTTTTTTAAATTCACAAAACCCATCTATGTTGATCTAGTTTTTTGTTTTAAGTTGTACATGCTGAAAATAAGGAAATCTCAGAGGCTCAAGAGGAAGGAGGGCACAGGCCCCACCAGATCTGGTCACAACACCTGGCCTGGCAGCTCCAGCACCCCCACTCACTCCAGAACCCCTTACCCACCTGCGTGGGGCTCACTGGTGAATGTGTGCAGGGCAGAGGAGGTGGAACATGCCAAGGCTCCATGGGGAGGGAGGGAAGGGCCAGACAGGCTGAGGCTCCTCTCCATGGTCCAGGCTCCGGTCAGAGTCCCCACTGAGCACATACCAGGGGACCCCCAGCAGCAACCAGGCCCCCGAGCAGGTGTGACATCAGTGGGGGAACAGCACCTTCCCCACCCTTCTCTGAGCCCAGCATCAGTGGGTGGAGGAAGCAGAGCTGGGGCCTGGCAGCCTCTCAGGGCCTCCTAGGAGGGTGAACACCCAAATCCTGCCCTACCCAAATCCAGAACCAGGAGGCGGGGAGAGAACAGGCGGCCTCCCAAGGAAGGACTCACCCTGCTTGGCCATGCAGGAGGAGGAAGGCTGGCCTGAGAAGGATGTGAGACCAAAATAAGAACAAGCACACCCCCACCCCCGTAGGGCCGAGGAATATTCCCGAGGGTCCTGAATGTCAACGAAGTGCGTTTAAAGCCTCCGTCAGCCTTCTGTCTTTGGCTTTTCCTGCCAGGCTTCTGTAACTTCTGTGTTTTTACCCTGTTTTATTTATTTTTTAAGACGGAGTCTCGCTCTGTCACCCAGGCTGGAGTGCAATGGCACGGTCTCGGCTCACTGCCACCTCTGCCTCCTGGGTTCAAGCAATTCTCCATCCCAAAATATATTTATCTTTTAAAGGAAGCTTTATGTCACTAACATAAATGGAAAATGGTGTCCCTCCCCTAAGTAGAATGTGCTCTAGAAGAAAATGTACTGCAAATGTTAAAACCATAGGCCAAAATTCTAGCTAGAGATTCACACTTGGTAGAGGCTCTGCTTCCCAGGCCTACAGCTGTTTGTTAGAAAGAGGCATGGAGAAGCACTAGGCAGGAGCTAAAAACACCATGGCACCAAGAAGAGACTCCGTCCTTGAGTATACAGGAGGAGGGAGGAGAGTTAAAAATGAAGTCACTCTCCCCACCATGGTGTTCTCAGCCAGTGGGAGCTGCCCAGCCCACACCTCTGTGAGGCAGGCAGGACCGGTCACTGCTCCCACTTTACAGATGAGGAAAACTGAGATTCGGAGGAACAACCAGCAGAGCCACGTTTCTCAGGGGTCTCCTAGTTCCCACCTTCTGGGAGCAGGTGAGGGGCCACCCTCAGTCCTCCACAGACCTGATTCCAAAGCCCATCAAGGCACTGGCGGCACAGTGGGACCCCCTTCTATAAACCGGGGTTGAGATGTGGTTCTGTGCCCAAGGCGCGGGCCCCTGAGGGCCTCCTGCCTCTGGAAATAGGCCCCAAGGCTGCACTGGGGGGATAAGCCAGGCTATTTTCATCACTTCCTTCCGCCCGCTCCCGCAGCGGCCACCTCAGCTGTATCCCATAGAGTTGCCACCCAGGCCTCAGCCAGGACCTTTCAGGCCAGACAGGAGCACCTGACCAAAGGCTTCACAGGTAAGTGGCCCTCCGTATTACCCAGCATGGCCTCCCACAGGGAGAGAGGAGGTCAGTTCCTGTCCCTTTAACAAGACAGGGTTGGGTGGGACATTCCCTCTGAGACACCATCTCCTTGGCTGAGTCAAGATGAGTGAGTTGATTTGACACTTATTCACTGGAAACCTGCTGTGGGTAGGGGGAGCTCTGCTGGTGGAGGGGAAACGCCTGTGGGGAAGAACCAAACAGAGGGCCACGGTTGCCGAGACCCGAGTGTGAGTCTGGCCTCTGACACCACACCGGTGGCCCTGGGCACATTGCTTTCCCTCTCTGGGCCTCAGTTTCCCCAAGTCAGTGTTAGCCCAGATGAGTGGTTTTCCAGATGGGGTCCCACTGAGTTCCCCTCCCTGCTCCAGCCAGTGTCCCTGTCCTGCTGTCTTCTGCATCTGGGAATCAGGTAACAGCTCACTTAGCTGGTGGGGGGTGCTGGGCGCAGCCTGCAGGGCCCTCCAAGGCTCTTTCCTAGTCTCTGGGGACTGTGGTCCTGGGCTGGGACTCATTTAGCAGCCATCTGCTCCTCTCATCCCCAAGCAGGGGATGGGGTCTCTGCTAAGGGCCAGGAAGTCCCTTCCCCTTCCCAAAAACAAACTTACCCAATCCACAGCCGCCCTCACCGCCCGGCCTTCTACGGTGTCCAGAGACAGTTAGCCAGGCCTGGGCTGGGCACACTCCACCTTCCCTAGTCACCAGCTGGTTTCCCAGAGGAGAAGGCTGAGACCCGAGAAGGGAGGTGAGTGCACCCCGTCCCATGTCAGGCTCCGCTACATCCCCAGTGCTTGCCGTCCCTGAGGATCGGTCCAGGCTGCCAGGCCCTCCCTCACAGCCCCTCTCTCTGCAGCCAGCCTGTCCCATGCCTGCCTGGGGAGCCCTGTTCCTGCTCTGGGCCACAGCAGAGGCCACCAAGGACTGCCCCAGCCCATGTACCTGCCGCGCCCTGGAAACCATGGGGCTGTGGGTGGACTGCAGGGGCCACGGACTCACGGCCCTGCCTGCCCTGCCGGCCCGCACCCGCCACCTTCTGCTGGCCAACAACAGCCTTCAGTCCGTGCCCCCGGGAGCCTTTGACCACCTGCCCCAGCTGCAGACCCTCGATGTGACGCAGAACCCCTGGCACTGTGACTGCAGCCTCACCTATCTGCGCCTCTGGCTGGAGGACCGCACGCCCGAGGCCCTGCTGCAGGTCCGCTGTGCCAGCCCCAGCCTCGCTGCCCATGGCCCGCTGGGCCGGCTGACAGGCTACCAGCTGGGCAGCTGTGGCTGGCAGCTGCAGGCGTCCTGGGTGCGCCCGGGGGTCTTGTGGGACGTGGCGCTGGTCGCCGTGGCCGCGCTGGGCCTGGCTCTTCTGGCTGGCCTGCTGTGTGCCACCACAGAGGCCCTGGATTGAGCCAGGCCCCCAGAACCCCTGGCTCCAGGCCAGGGGGCCAGTCCCTGAGGCAGGTCCCCAGACTCCACCAAGCCTGGTCAGCCCAAACCACCAGAAGCCCAGAATAAACTGGCAGCTCAGCTGTTTTATATAAGCTCAGAGATTTTTTTTTTTTCCCCTCTCAGCATTTGAGTCTGACTCCTTCTGAAAACCTGGCTCGATTTTGTTATAACCAGACATCAGTTGGGGCTTCCCTGTTTCTCAAGTTGTTAGTAAAATGGGCTGCCCACCTCCCCCACCCTTCACCCTTAACTGCACAGTCTCTGGACATCTCAAGCCAGGACCTGGGACTCTGGGTCTCATGGCCTCAGCCGTCTGCTTCTGGTGTGGGCCACCCTGGACAGGCCAGGCCAGCTTTGCACCGGGGCCAGCCCTCACCACATTCCCCAGAAATCTCGCTCTTCCAGCACGGTAGTGAGCAGAGCAGGGTGTCCCAAAGGCCCCTGGAGGGAGGAGAGGAGGGGTTTCCATCCCCACGACAGAAATGGCTTGGCGGGCCCTTTTCCATCACGGCCTCTGACCACTCCACCTTGGCTGTGAGGCTGCCAGGGCGCACCTGGCCCCATCCTCTCCTCCGTCTTCTCTCTCCTTTTTCTCCTCTCTACTCTTCTCCACAAACAAGACAAATCTCTCTATTTCTCATGGAAAACAAGCTCCTACAGGGCTAACATCTGCACCTCCAAACCCTGGGGTCCCCCTCCTACCCCAAGCCCTGATCACCAAATCCTTCAAACAAGGCAACTCTCCCCCTCTGAGGAATCCTGGTGCCAGATGTTAAAATCATAAACTTTTCTCCACCACATGAGGTAACATTTATGGGCCTGTTACTGGCCAAGCCAAATCCAAATATAATTACACGAGGACCCCACCCCTTGAGGGGTTCCATGTGTAACCAGCAGACCAGCCTGGGTGGGCCTGTGGGTCGGAAGATTCCACCAGGTAGCCCAAGCGGGTGCAGAGTGCAGCTGGAGGGCACTGACTCACAGAGCTCAGGTGGGAGCAGGAGCCCCAAACCCAGAGGTGGGGGCCAGTAAGAAGTGATAGGGAATGTGGCAAACCAGGGAGCCTGTGTTCCATCCAGAGGGGCTCAGCCGATTGCCACCATGTGGAGGAGATGGGGGCCCAGGTGCCAGGCGTCCAGTTCTTCCAGAGAGGTCAGAAGGCTAGATTGTTACATGAACTCTCTAAAGTCTTTAAGTGTTGGCAACTAAATAAGAAATTTTAAGGCCGGGCGCGGTGGCTCATGCCTGTAATCCCAGCACTCTGGAAGGCCGAGGTGGGCGGATCACCTGAGGTCAGAAGTTCAAGACCATCCTGGCTAACATGGTGAAACCCCGTCTCTACTAAAAATACAACAAATTAGCTGGGTGTGGTGGTGTGTGCCTGTAATCCCAGCTACTGGGGAGGCTGAGGCAGGAGAATCGCTTGAACGCGAGAGGCGGAGGTTGCAGTGAGCCCAGATCGCGCCACTGCACTCTAGCCTGGGCAACAAGAGCGAAACTCCGTCTCAAAAAACAAAAAAAAAAAAAAAAAGAAATTTTAGGAAATACATAGGCAGGACAAATAGAACATCAGCCAATTGGATCAGGCTGAGCCTGCGATTTCTGCTGTGGCACGGCTGCCTAAGAACAATCGTAAAAGCTGGCATCTGCTCCTTGGGCACCAGGTGTGTCCAAGGCTTGCGTGCAGCACCTCCCATGGGTGACTCTCGGGTTTCCCTTTGGAAGACTGTAAGGAGGGAGCTGTTCTGCAACCCGCTGCATGGAGGAGGGTGCAGGCCTAGGTCACCTGCTTGTTCTCTCTCACACGTGCTCCCTCGAAAGCTTCCAGGCCCGTGGGGGACCCTGGAACTAAGGCCCTTCAGTCCCCAACCCCCGACATAGGGTGCTACACAGATCCCCCTGCTTCAGTGCCTTCTTGAGGCCGTGTGTACCCGCCAGCAATTCCAGGCCCCTGTCCTGCTCGGTCCAGCAAGAACCTGCAGGCTGCAACAAGTCCCCTGTGGGTGGAGAGGGTGGAGGGCCCTCTGAAGCCAGGCAGGGATTTCCCAAGGTGGATGGCTGGTCATACAAGCACCCCAGGAGACGGTGACTCCCTGGAAGGTCACGGTCTGCCTTCACCAGTTTTTGCTGCTACAACCTAATGCCACAGTCTGGGTACTGTAAAAACAGTGAACATTTATTTCTCATGGTTCTGAAGCCTGAGAAGTCCAAGATCCAGGCACTGGCATTCAGTGTCTGCTGAGGGCCCTCTTCCTCTCATTGCCAAAGGGGCGAAAGGGATAGAAGGGGCAGCCAGTTCCCTCACACACTCCTTTTTTTTTTTTTTTTGAGACAGGGTCTTTCTCTGTCGCCCAGGCTGGAGTGCAGTGGTGCAATCATGGCTCACTGCAGCCTCCCGCCTCAACTTCCCCAGTAGCTGGGACTATAGGCGTGCGCCACCATGCCCAGCTAATTTTTGGTAGAGACAGGGTTTCGCCATGTTACCCAAACTAGTCTCAAACTCCTGGGCTCAAGCAACCCTCCTGCTTTGTCCTCCCAAAGCCACCGCACCTGGCCAACCTCAAGCACTTTTATAAGGGCCCTAATTACCTTCCAAAGGCCCCACCTCCTAATGCAAGCACACTAGGGATAAAATTTCAGCATTCAACAGCACCAGCCCCAGCCTCAGTGCCTCTCCCACCACAGGCATGGTTGACCAAACATACCCCTGCACGGGCAACTCTGCCAGCAATTCACACGATCTCCCCTCCCTCAGAGCCATCCACATCACCTCCCCTGACACCAGCCTCACACTGACCTCCTGCAGTGGTGCGATCATGGCTCACTACAACCTCAGCCTCCTGGACTCAAGTGATCCTCCTACCTCCCACCTCTCCCGAATAGCTGGGACCACAGGCATGCACCTCCACACTCGGCTGATTTTTGTAGCTTTTGTAGGGAAGGGGTTTCGCCATGTTGCCCAGGCTGATCTTGAACTCCTGGACTCAAGCAATCAATTAGCCAGCCTCGGCCTCCCAAAGTGCTGGGACTACTAGGCGTGAGCAGCCACCGCACCCAGCCTGTGTAGGGTAATTTTACCAGCAGCTATAACCACTGACCCACCCATCCGGCCGCTCTTCCTGATCACGGGCCTCTCTGCTGGCCACCTGCTCACTGGGAGGCCTCCTTCTCTGCTGTAACACAGAATCCACTCTCAACATACAAGACAACATGCTACGGTGCCTATTATGGAAGTGGAGCTCAAGCCTGCCAGCTAATAGTGCTGCACTGGGCACAGGTGGCAAGTCTGTCTTTCTAGAAACTGTCTTCCCCAGCTTCTGAAACTGTCCTTCCCCTCTTCTGCATGCCCCTGGCCAGTGGGAGAGCAGAGGACAAAGAGGACAGCACGATGCCCATGGCTAGCCCTGAGGGGCACAGATCATGCTTGCACATTTGCTGTCCAGATCCCAGTCAGTGACTGTGATGGTTAATATTGAGTGTCAACTTGATTGGGTTGAAGGATGTAAACTATTGCTCCTGGGTGTGTCTGTGAGGGTGTTACCAAAAGAGATTAACATTTGAGTCGGAGGACTGGGAGAGGCAGACACACCCTCAATCTACATGGGCACCATCTAACCCGCTGCCAGCTCCACTAGAATAAAAGCAGGCAGAAGAATATGGAAGGACTACACTTGCTGAGTCTTCCGGCTTTCATCTTTCTCCCCTGCTGGATGCTTCCTGCCCTCAAATGTCAGACTCCAAGTTCTTCAGCGTTTGGACTCTTGGGCCTACATCAGTGGCTTGCCAGGGGCTCTCGGGCCTCTGGCCATAGACTGAAGGCTGCACTGTCGGCTTCCCTATTTTCAAGGTTTTGGGACTCAGACTGGCTAGAAATGGACTGGAAGTGAGCGGAAGGTGGAAGCTCTGTCCTGGCTCAGCTCGGCCTATGCTGGGAGGGTGACTGGTGGTGTGGAAAGTCCGCTGGGACTCAGCAGCACCTGGGCCTCTAATTGTTAGCTTTCTAACCGGCTCTGGGGCTGCAGTTCTCATTTTCAATCCTCTGGGTAATAAGCAGTGAGGACTTCTACTCCAGGTTTTGAGAAATGTCGCAAAATCTTGGGAAAGTGTTACTTTCTTGGATGGATCTCTAAAACAGTGGATCAAATTCAGACAGGAAAGCTAGACTGTATTACTTCCTTCATTAATATTTAATTGCAAGGCCAGGCGCAGTGGCTTGCGCCTGTAATCCCAGCACTTTGGGAGGCAAAGGCAGGTGGATCACCTGAAGTCAGGAGTTCAAGGCCAACCTGGCGAAACCTCGTCTCTACAAAAAATACAAAAATTAGCTGGCATGGCGGCACGCACCTGTAATCTCAGCTACTCGGGAGGCTGAGGCAGAAGAATCACTTGAACCCAGGAGGTGGAGGTTACAGTGAGCTGAGATTACACCACTTCACTCCAGCATGGTCACAGAGTGAGACTCCCTCTCAAAAAGAAAAAAAAAACAAATTAAATTGCACAGCCATCAGTTAAATATATTGCTTTTAGAAAAAATTAAAATAGTACATCTCTCCCCCAATTCTGGTGGTGGTCCACTTCTGCGATACGCATATATGCCCACAGAAAATATGCTGGTCTTATGGCAGGTTTTTATGTAAATGTATCATACTTTTGGATTCTTCCGAAACTGGCTTTTCTCACCTGTGCGTGTTAGCCACATAGGCCCTTCTCTCTCCGTGGCTGCTGCGTAGTCTCTCTTGGTCTCTGTGTCCTCTGGCGCAATTGCTCCAGCATTCTCCTTTACAAACAAGCTGCCGTGTGCAGCCCTATGCACCTGTGCGGCTATTTCTCTAGGGCACTGGTCCTCAAAGCAGAGCTCCAGAGACCGCTGGGGAGAGGAGGTTCCCTGAAACTCTTTTAGAGAGGTCCACATATTCAAAACTATGTTCATACTGTAGGCCATTATCAGCCTTTTCCACTGTGGTTTTCTGAAATTAAAATCCCTCTTGAAATAAAAGAGAATTTTCCAGAGGCCACATGATTTGTGACATCACAGCAGTGTGTCTGCAGACACAGACACGGCATCCAGCTACCTCCTATTACGCCAGACGTTTAAAAGATTTGCAAAAAATATAGAATGGCACACTTCTCACTCTTTTGTTTTGGAACATATCTATTCTTTTTGAGACAGGGTCTCACTATGTTTCCCAAGCTGTACTCAAACTTCTGGGCTTAAGCAATCCTCTTGTCTCCAGAATTGGTGGGTTCTTGGTCTCACTGACTTCAAGAATGAAGCTGCGGACCCTCGCAGTGAGTGTTACAGTTCTTAAAGGCGGCACGTCTGGAGTTTGTTCCTTCTGATGTTTGGATGTGTTCGGAGTTTCTTCCTTCTGGTGAGGTCGTGGTCTCTTTGGCTCAGGAGTGAAGCTGCAGACCTTCGCGGTGAGTGTTACAGCTCATAAAGGTAGTGTGGCTCCAAAGAGCAAACAACAGCAAGATTTATTGCAAACAGCAAAAGAACAAACCTCCAACAGCGTGGAAGCGGACCAAACCAGTTTGCCACTGCTGGCTCGGGCAGCCTGCTTTTATTCTCTAATCTGGCCCCACCCACATCCTGCTGATTGGTCCATTTTACAGAGAGCTGATTGGTCCGTTTTGATAGGGTGCTGATTGGTGGGTTTACAATCCCTGAGCTAGACACAAAAGTTCTCCAAGTCCCCACCAGAGTAGCTAGATAGAGTGTGGACACAAAAGTTCTCCAAGTCACCACCAGAGTAGCTAGATACAGAGTGTCGATTGGGCATTCACAAACCCTGAGCTAGACACAGGGTGCTGACTGGTGTGTTTACAAACCTTGAGCTACAGAGTGCTGATTGGTGTATTTACAATCCCTTAGCTAAACATAAAGATTCTCCAAGTCCCCACCAGACTCAGGAGCCCAGCTGGCTTCACCCAGTGGATCCCGCACGGGGGCCCAGGTGGAGCTGCCTGCCAGTCCCGTGCCGTGCGCCCGCACTCCTCAGCCCTTGGGTGGTCAATGGGAACTGGGTGCCCTGGAGCAGGGGGCGGCCCTTGACGGGGAGGCTGGGGCCGCGCAGGAGCCCACTGGGGCCGGCGGGGAGTGGTTGAGGAGGGAAGGCTCAGGCATGGCGGGCTGCAGGTCCTGGGCCCTGCCCTGCGGGGAGGCAGTTAAGGCCCGGCGAGAAATCAAGCACAGCAGCTGCTGGCCCAGGTGCTAAGCCCCTCACTGCTCCGGACTCGCGGCTCCGAGAGCGGGGCCGCGGAGCCCACGCCCACCCGGAACTTGCGCTGGCCGGCAAGCGCGGCGCGCAGCCCCGGTTCCCGCCCCCGCCTCTCCCTCCACACCTCACCGCAAGCTGAGGGAGCCGGCTCCGGCCTTGGCCAGCCCAGAAAGGGGCTGGCCGGGGCTCCCATAGTGTAGCGGCGGGCTGAAGGGCTCCTCAAGCGCGGCCAGAGTGGGCACCAAGGCCGAGGAGGCGCCCAGAGCGAGCGAGGTCTGTGAGGGCTGCCAGCAGGCTGTCACCTCTCACCTCTGCCTCTGAAGTAGCTGGGACTACAGGCACACACCACTATGCCCAGCTTTGTTTTTATTAAAGTATTTTATTTTCATTAACATCCTTAAGCTTTATCATTATGATTGTAAACAAAGTGACACATTAAGTATGTTTAAACTGTCTCCCCTTATTTTCACACACTGTAACTATTGGTAGATATAACCCATAAAAAGCTCTCTATGGTGCTCCAGAATTTTTAAGAATGGGTCCTGAGAGCAAAAAGTTTGAAAACCACTGCTCTAGACTAAGAAGCCCATGGCTGGGCATTGAGGCTTGCATTGTCTGAATTCTGATACACAACAAGCTCTAAAACTTTGCTGTTTTGCCATTCTGTAGGAGGACATGCAATATGTATTTCCCAAATTCGTGTCCTTGCTCTGTGGCAGCTCATGGGCACCACCCTACACTAGCCTCTTGTGGGTTTGAGAAGTGAAGCCAGCTGGACTTCCTGGGTCAAGTGGGGACTTGGAGAACTTTTCTGTCTAGCTAAAGGATTGTAAATGCACCAATCAGCACTCTGTAAAAACGCACCCATCAGCGCTCTGGGTCTAGCTAAATGATTGTAAATGCACCAATCAGCACCCCATAAAAACAAAGGATTGTAAATGCACCAATCAGCACCCCATAAAAACAAAGGATTGTAAATGCACCAATCAGCACTCTGTAAAAATGCACCAATCAGCGCTCTGTGTCTAGCTAAAGGATGTAAACACACCAATCAGCACTCTGTAAAATGGACCAATCAGCACTCTGTAAAATGGACCGATCAGCAGGATGTGGGCAGGGACAAATAAGGGAATAAAAAGCTGGCCACCCCAGTCAGCAGTGACAACCTGCTCGGGTCCCCTTCCACACTGCAAACTTTGTTCTTTTGCTCTTCACAGTAAATCTTGCTGCTGCTCCCTCTTTGGGTCCGTGCCACCTTTAAGAGCTGTTAACACTCACCACCAAGGTCTGTGGCTTCATTCTTGAAGTCAGCACGACCAAGAACCCACTGGAAAGAACGAACTCCGGACACAGGCTGTGGGCCTGTTTTCTTCGTGCCTTCACAGACAGTACTGTCGCCAGCCAGCAAACCACCCTCCCCAAATTATTTCCTTCTGGTGAATTCCCAGAGGACTTCTCATGGGCTCAGAACGTCCCCATCCCTGAAAGCATGGAACAGCCTCGTGGTCACTCTGCTGGCATGGGGTGCTCACAGTTTTATCAAGTTTCCTTCTATTTTAGTAACTAAAAATGTTATGTCTGTCAAGGACATATTGCTGGCGGGGTCCCTGAAGGCTCAGAGTAAGCTTCCTGTGGGTTTTTCCACCTCCTGTGCCCTCCCCGCTGTGAGCTCTGCCCTTCTATCTGTTGCACATCCACCATGTGTCAGCTTGAGTGCCCACGTTCCATGTCATGAATTCTAATGTTTTCCTTTATAGCTAGTTTAGGGAAATTCTGAATTTGTTGTTCAGATGAGGAGCAAGCTGTGGAGAGGAAAAGATCACCAAGGGGTCACGTATGCAGGGGACATTTAAGTACCAAGCACTGCACCAAGTCCCTCACCCTTAGGAAGGTGTATAAACCTCAGAACTGTTACTGCAACACCAGGGTCTAGGTCTAGGTCCCGCTGCTCACTGCACAGAAAGCCAATAAGACAACAAGTATCGCCTGGGAAGAAGGCTTTAATTGTGTGCTGTAGTCAGAGATGGGAGATCAGTCTCAAATCCATCTCCCTGACGGACTAAAACTAGGGGTAATATAACAGAGAAGAAACGTAACCATGTGTGGGAAAACAGGAATTAGGGAGGTCAACAGGAAGCAGGTGGTCAGTTAGGCACTCATGATGGGTGAGAGGTCTAGCCTCTCATTGTGCAGATGATGTGGTGAGTTTCAACTCCTTGACACTATCTGGGAGGCCTGATAGTTGCTTTCCTAAGAGAGGAACTCAAATAAGACAAATGTAACTTTCTCAAGTTTTAAGACTGGGAGGATCAATTTCTATGTTTATTCAAAGAAACCATGAACATCAGTTCTGTGGGGCAGTTGGGCCGGCTTCAGAGCTACCTCTTGGTGTGGGCAGTGAACACCCTTCTCACCTCACCTTCCTCCTCTCCATTTTACAGATGGGGAAACTGAGGCACAGAAAGGTAAATAGCAGAGGTGAGATTTGGAGCCAAGCAGTCTGGCCCCGATGCCACTCTTGTAAGTCCTCTTCTCATGGTTGCTCACAGGCACTCAACTTAGGAACTGCTGGTCAACCCAAAAAAATCTGTATTAAGCATGGAAACAAAATTCACAGAAAGGATGCCTGATGGCCGCGTGGCGTTCTCAGATGAATACAGCTGCTTTGAGGCCAAGTGCTCTGCCTCT
Organism: Homo sapiens; assembly: GCF_000001405.40. NCBI lineage: Eukaryota > Metazoa > Chordata > Mammalia > Primates > Hominidae > Homo > Homo sapiens. The sequence continues at coordinate 129,071,224 of NC_000003.12, forward strand.
GCCCCCTACCTTCCTCCTTATTCACCCACCTGGGGTCTTTGATTCTTAAACTTTAGGGATTCTTGGAAACAAGCTAGGATGACAAATAGGCTATGGATTTGACCTTCTTAGTGATTAAGACACCACCGCGTGGCGCCCGCTGGAGTGGACCAGAATGTGTCCTCCACCAGACACGGCTTCTCAAAAGCTATAGGCGCAGCGATTCTGGGCGCTCTGCCTGTGAGTTAGCCCTGCTCAACAAGGAGCAGTAAAAACCAAGCAAACAAACGGGAGGCAGCAGCTGGTGGGGGTTTATTTTTTGACAATACCCTCACCCCCCAACACAGACACTGACCTTTGGGAAGGGATCTTGGGGCAGACCCCTGCTGGCCTACTGCCCCTCGTCTGGGGTCTCAGGCAGGTGCAGGCTGAGCAGACTTGGGCTCTAGAAACCAACCTTTCTGGAATTTTACGCTAGACCAGGGGTGTCCAATCTTTTAGCTTCCCTGCGCCACATTGGAAGAAGAATTGTCTTGGGCCACACATAAAATACACCAACACTAATTAGTAGGGGATTTTGAAAATGTTACTTAATATTAGATCGATGCACAAAAATCTATTGCATTTTTAGACAATTAGAAATTATAATTTTAGCTGGGTGTGGTGGCTCATGCCTGTAATCCCACCACTTTGGGGAGCCAAAGAGGGAGGATCGCTTGAGCCCTGGAGTTTAAGGCCAGCCTGGGCAACATAGCAAGACCCCATCTCTACAAAAAATAAAAATAAGAAAATTAGCTGGGTATGGTGGCACACACTTGTAGTGCCAGTTACTTGAGAAGCTGAGATGGAAGGATCACTTGAGCCCAAAAGGTGGAGGCTGCAGTGAGCTATGATCACAGCACTGCACTCCAGCCTGAGTGATAGAATGATTGTCTCTAAAAAAGAAAAAAAGAAAGAAAGAAATTGTAATTTAAAAATAGGATACAATAAAAGGCAGGTATACAATTGACTTTCAAGTTGGAAAAAATAAAATTTAATTTATATCTCACACCATAAACAGAAAAAAAAAATACACTAGCACTAATGATGGCTGATGAGCTAAAAAAAAATTGCAAAAATCCTCATAATGTTTTAAGAACGTTTACAAATTTGTGTTGGGCAGCATTCAAAGCCATCCTGGGGCACATGTTGGACAAGCTTGCCCTAGACCGAAGGAAAAGAGAAGACCGATACAACGGTGGCAAAATAGAAAATCCCTGTGGATTTCCCATGTTATAATAACAGGGAAGGAAAATGATCATAAAATGTATGTATTTATTTATTTTTATTTTTTTTTTTTGAGTCGGAGTCTCGCTCTGTCGCTCAGGCTGGAGTGCAGTGGTTTGATCTCGGCTCACTGCAAGCTCCGCCTCCTGGGTTCACGCCATTCTTCTGCCTCAGCCTCCCGAGTAGCTGGGATTATAGGCATGTGCCACAACGCCCGTCTAATTTTTTGTATATTTAGTAGAGACGCGGTTTCACCATGTTAGCCAGGATGGTCTCGATCTCCTGACCTCGTGATCCACCTGCCTCGGCCTCCCAAAGTGCTGGGATTACAGGCGTGAGCCACCGCGCCCAACCTACAAAATGTATTTAGTTAAAATCTCCTGTCGTCTCCTAGGCAGGGGGCAAAGCCCTGCTTTCTTTCCTGGAGTCCCATGGACACTGGGTCAGCACTGCCTGGACCCCTACCCAGCTGTGCAGGTGCTGTTTTACCCCTGCAAGGCTCTCGGTCAGGACCGAGCCTCCTCCTTCAGCTCTTGCCCAACTTCGTTGCACCAAGACAGAAGTTTATGAGCATGCCCAGAAGAGGAACCAATATGGCCTGGGGGCCCTAGAGTGGTCACATTCCAAGACAGAAAGTGGGTGGTGGCCACCAAGGCTGGAGGAGAGGGCACACGGGGAGTTTGGTGGGGACAGAGTTTCAGTTTGGGAAGACGGAAGCATTCTGAGATGGATGGTGTTCATGGTGGCACAGCAGTGTGAATGTGCTTAAGGTCCCTGCACTCTCCACTTTACGGATTTTATGGATGCTTAAAATTAGGAAAATTAGGAGTCTTTTGTAGTTTAAAAGTGTGATGATTGGCTTTTCTTGCTCTTGTGTGAGTGAGGTGTGCTTCTCTCAAAATACTATGTTCTCTCATAAATACTATGCCATGTATGGTTTGTTTTGGGGGTTTATTCTTGAGACAGGGTTTCGCTTTGCCGCCCAGGCCGATCTTGGCTCACTGCAGCCTCTGCGTCCTGGGTTCAAGCGATTCTTCTGCCCCCTGAGTAGCTGGGATTACAGGCATGCGCCACCTTGCCCAGCTAATTTTTGGATTTTTTTAGTAGAGATGGGGTTTTGCCATATTGACGAGGCTGGTCTTGAACTCCTGACCTCAAGTGATCCACCCGCCTTTGTCTCCCAAAGTGCTGGGATTACAGGCTTGAGCCACCATGCCCAGCCCATGCCATGTATGTTTTACCACAATACATAGTAATAATTTTGTTTTAAGTAATACAGCAATCTCTGTAAGCTCCTTTAGCCAAAGACAGTCACTATTAACACACAGTTAGTCTAAGCATCCCAGCTTTTCTCTTTTCTACCTCTGGAAAAGATACATTCCTAGAAAGTAAACACACCAGCGTGAAGTCACGGAGGGAACAATGGGGCTCGCCATTGCGGTATTTCCTTCTGGTGTCCTTCTCCGAACAGTTGTATATAGTTGAGATCATAACCACACAAATTATCTAGCCCAACTTTTTCCCTTCTTTAAAAAATGGAAATAGCTTTATTGATTTTCCTGGCTATATATAACTAATTCATGATCATAACCAAAAATTTTTCTCTAAAACTGCAAAAAAATTAGGAGCCTTTTGTAGTTTATAAGTGTGATGATTGGCTTTTCTCATTCTTGTGTGAGTGAGAACTTCTTTTCTCAAACCTTGTTATGATGTCAGCACATTACCTACCAGACATGAAAAATAATAATAAAAGGCCTAGGCCATGCGCGGTGGCTCACTCATGTAATCCCAACACTTTGGGAGGCTGAGACAGGCAGATCACGAGGTCAGGAGATCGAGACCATCCTGGCTAACATGGTGAAACCCTGTCTCTACTAAAAATAAACAAAATTAGCCTGGCGTGGTGGCGGGCGCCTGTAGTCCTAGCTACTCGGGAGGCTGAGGCAGGAGAATGGCGTGAACCCGGGAGGCGGAGTTTGCAGTGAGCCGAGGTGGCGCCACTGCACTCCAGCCTGGGTGACAGAGAGAGACTCCGTCTCAAAAAAAAAAAAAAAAAAAATAATAATAATAATAAAAGGCCTGAAATTGAAATCCAGCCCCCTCCAGAGACAGATTTCTTCCTAACTTTGACTGAATATCCTTCCAGGCTTTCTCCCCAAAATGTGTGTGTATATATACATATGTGGGTGGGTACGTGTGTATATACACACCCATATATTTAAATATATATTTACGATTATTTTATTTATGAGAGTAATTGAGAACATATTTTCATGGTTCATCTGTTTCTACTTAGTCAATTTTTTTTTTTGAGACTGAGTCTCACTCTGTCTCCCAGGCTGAGAGGCAGTGGTGCGATCTCAGCTCACTGCAACCTCGACCTTCTGGGCTCAAGCTAACCTCCCATCTCAGCCTCCCTGAGAAGCTGGGACTACAGGAGCACGCTACCATACCTGGCTAATATATTTTTGTAGAGACAGGATTTTGCCATGTTGGCCAGGCTGGTCTCGGACTCCTGAGCTCAAGTGATCCACCCACCTTGGCTTCCCAAAGTGCTGTGATTACAAGCGTGAGCCACCATGCCTGGCCTACTTAGTCATTTTTAATTTTATTGTATTCATTCATTTTATTTTTATTAATTCATCTTTTATTGAGGAACATTTAAGTTTGGGTGTGAAATTGCAATGATAAACAGCTATTCAGCTTATTTCACTTACTGGCATTTTCCAATCAATAGTAGAATTCCAATCACTACTTCAATCAAATCCTTCATGAAGATCATTTCTATGTCACTCCTTTTCTGGGATATCTAGGTTGTTTCCAAGTCCCCCCTGCCCCCACAAATGGCATTATGTCTTAGTTTGTTTGTGTCTCTATAAAGGAATACCTGAGACTGGGTAATTTATAAAGAAAAGAGGTTTATTTGGCTCACAGTTCTGCAGGCTGTTCAGGAAGCCTGGCGCCAGCATCTGCTCCTAGTGAGACCTCAGGGAAGCTTTCACTCATGTTGGAGGTGAAGGGGAGCTGGTGGGTCACACGGTGAGAGAGGGAGCAGGAAAGAGGGGAGGGAGTTGCCAGGCAGCTCTTTTTGAAAATCAGGTCTCTTGGGAACTAACATAGTGAGCATTCACTCATTATCTCATTAGTGTGAGGACTGCACCAAGCCATGAGGGGTGCGCTCCCATGACCCACCTTCCACCAGGCCTCACCTTCAACATTGGGGATCACATTTTAACATGAGATTTGGAGGGGTCAAATAGCAAACCAGGCCAGGTGCAGTGGCTCACGCCTGTAATCCCAACACTTTGGGAGGCCGAGGTGGGCGGATCACCTGAGGTCAGAAGTTTGAGACCAGCCTAGCCTGGCCAACATGGTGAAACTCTCTATCTCTCCTAAAAATACAAAAATTAGCCAGGCATGGTGGTGGGCACCTGTAATCCCAGCTACTTGGGAGGTTGAGGCAGGAGAATCGCTTGAACTTGGGAGGCAGAGGTTGCAGTGAGCTAAGATCACACCATTCATTGCACTCCAGCCTGGATGACAAGACTGAAATTCCGTCAGAAAAAAAAAAAAAAGGAAACCATAGCACATTGTATTTGAATTCTTTGTACATAAAAATTTTTCCACATCTAGATGTGTTTTCTTGGGACAGAATCCCCAAAGTTGATTTGGGAAAAAGTAAAGTTTGGCCAAGTGCAGTGGCTCACACCTGTAATCCCAACACTTTGGGATGCCAAGGTGGGTGGATTGCTTGAGGCCAGGAGTTGGAAACCAGCCCGGCCAACATGGCATAACCCTGTCTCTACTAAAAATACAAAAACCAGCTGGGCGTGGTGGCACACACCTGAAATCCCAGCTACTCGAGAGGCTGAGGCACGAGGCGGAGGGAGGTTGCAGTGAATCAAGATTGCACCATTGCACTCCAGCCTGAATGACAGAGTGAGACCCTGTCTCAAAATAAATAAATAAATAAATAAATAAAATAAAGTAAGTTCATTTGGAGAGTCAAAGTTCAGATGCATTTTCTTTGTTTTTTGTTTGTTTGTTTTTCTGAGACAGAGTTTTGCTCTGTTGCCCAGGCTGGAGTGCAGTGGAGCAATCTCAGTTCACTGCAACCTCTGCCTCCCAAGTTCAAGCGATTCTCTTGCCTCAGCCTCCTCAGTAGCTGGGACTACAGGTATGCGCCACCACACCCAGCTAATTTTTGTATTTTTGGTAGAGATGGGGTTTCACCATGTTGGCCACGCTGGTCTCGAACTCCTGGGCTCAAGTGATCCACCCATGTTTGCCTCCCAAGGTGCTGGGATTACAGGCATGACCCAACATGCTCGGCCCCAGATGCATTTTCTTTTCTTTTTTTTTTTGAGATGGAGTCTTGCTCTGTTGCCCACGCTGAAGTGCAGTGAGTGATCTCAGCTCATTGCAACTTCCGCCTCCCGGGTTCAAGTGATTCTCCTGCCTCAGCCTCCCGAGTAGCTGGGATTACAGGCACTTGCCACCATGCCCGACTGATTTTTGTACTTTTGGTAGAGACAGGGTTTCACCAGGTTGGCCAGGCTGGTCTCGAACTCCTGACGTCGGGTGATCCACCTGCTTTGGTCTCCCAAAGTGCTGGATTACAGGTGTGAGCCACCTCACCTGGCCCCCAGATGCATTTTCAATAGCAAGAATTTTCCCTCTTCCTTCTCATTCCTCTCCCCACCCCACTTAAAATAAAGTTGGCCCTAAAGTGCTGGATGAAGAAAGGAAAAAAGTCAGCAGGGCAGAAATCATCATTACAAATACTCTGGAGTGCAAAGAATTGACCCTGTGTCTGAATGTCCCCTGGAAAATAAACATTGGCATCCGTGTATTAGTCAGCGTTCTCCAGAGAAATGACCAATAGGAAGCGTGTACAGAGAGAGTTGAAGGAATTCGTTCACATGATGATGAAGGTTGGCAAGTCGAAAACCTGCGTGCTGGACCAGCAGTCTGGAGAGCCAGGGACACAGAATCACAGGTCAAGTCCAAAGGCTGTTGCTGCAGATCCCCTCTTGCTCAGGGGAGGTCAGTCTTTTTGTTCTTTTCAGGCCTTCAACTGACTGGATGAGGCCCACCCGATTACAGAGGGCAATCTGCTTTTCTCAAAGTCCACTGTTGAAATGCTAATCTCATCCAAAACACCCTCACAGAAACACCCAGAATAATATTTGACCACATATCTCAATACTAGGGCCCAGCAAAGTTGGCACACAAAATAACCATCACAGTCTGTAATGTTTGTTTGCTTAATCATATACTTGGCATGGCCGGGTGCAGTGGCTCTCTCATGTAATCCCAGCTCTTTGGGAGGCTTGAGGGTCAGGAGTTCGAGACCAGCCTGGCCAAGAGGGTGAAACTCCATCTCTACTAAAAATACAAAAATTAGCTTGGTGTGGTGGTGCACGCCTGTGGTCCCAGCTACTTGGGAGGCTGAGACAGGAGAATCGTTTGAACCCAGGAGGCAGAGCTTGCTGTGAGCTGAGATCGCGCCACTGCACTCCAGCCTTGGTGAAAGAGCAAGACTTTGTCTAAAAAAAAAAAAAAAAAACATCATATACTTGGCAGTACTAATTACAGTGGAAACACCTCTTTGGTTTCCTTTTTTTTTTTTTTTTTTGAGACAAGTTCCTACTCTGTTGCCCAGGCTGGAGTGCAGTGCCACAATCATGGCTCACTGCAGCCTCTACCTCTCCTACTCAAGCAATCCTCCCACCTCAGCCTCCCGAGTAGCTGGAACCAGAGGCACGTGCCACCATGCCCAGCTAATTTTTTTTTTTTTTGGTAGAGATGGGATCTCACAGTGTTGCCCTGACTGGTCTTGAACTCCTGGGCTCAAGCAACCCTCCTTCCTCAGCCTCCCCAAGTGCTGGGATTACAGGCATGAGCCACCGCACTCAGCCATATATATAATTTCTAATCTTCAGAAAACCCTGCAAGATAGGAAGAATTATCCTCAATTTTTCAAATGAGAAAACTTATGGTCAGAGGAAGAAAGGCTCCAAAGGCAACACAGCTGCATTTGAGGGAGATGGAACTGAAAGGCATCTTTAGTTAACCCAAAGCACCAGGCCTTTTCCAGCCACCCCTTCAAGCTGGGCAGGGATCACTCAATGTGGCAAGGATTGCTTGCTTGGCCTCTGAATTGTACTCCCCTTCTTCCACAGGAATGGAATTTTAGCCAGGCACAGGGCCGTGCAGAATAGAGACATTTCCCAGATGCCCTCAGTGAGCTGCGCCCACGTGACCAAGTCCTAGCCAAGGCGATGCAGGCAGGTGCTTCGGGCCATGCCCTTAAGGAAAGGGGTGACTGGTCCTCCCTTTCCCCTTCCCGTGGGGTGGGAAGCAAAGACTGGAGCCAGGCAGCACCTCAGGGCGTCAGTGCAACCGCACAGATATCCTATCCTATTCTGTTTTTGTTCAGACTTTTATAGGGATATAGATAGAATTTTATGCTGCTATTTGGGGTCTTTGTATCCCTGCTAATTAGAAAACAACTTTGAGGCCTAGTGCAGTGACTCATGCCTGTAATCCCAGCACTTTGAGAGGCCAAGGCCGGTGGATCACTTGAGGTCAGGAGTTCAAGACCAGCCTGGGCAACAACACAAAACCTCATCTCTACAAAAAAATCCAAAAATTAGCTGGGCATGGTGGTGCACACTTGTAGTCCCACCTACTCAGGAGGCTGAGGCAGGAGAATCGCTTGAACCCGGGAGGCGAAGGTTGCTGAGAGCCAAGATTGCACCACTGCACTCCAGCCTGAGCAAGAGAGTGAGATCCTGTCTCAAAAAAAGAAAAGAAAAAGAAAAGAGAAGAGAAAAGAGAGAAGGGAAAGGAAGGGAGGGGAGGGCAGGGGAGGGGAGGGGACAGGAGGGGAGGGGATGGGAGGCAACTTTGAGGCTTTCTGTTTACAAAGATTCCATAATAAAAAGGGAAGGCAGGCTCTGCGGTTCACCCAGCCTGCTGGGTTTGTACCTACCTGTCAGTCAATACAACCAAGGCCAGAGCCTGGAATACACTCTTCACCTGATGTCCTCCACTTCGGAAAAGCTCCATGGACTCCCATCATAACCTGAAGAATCATTCCTTCCATTGAGTTTAGAAAGTTGAATTGGCCAGGTGCGGTGGCTCATGCCTGTAATCCCAGCACTTTGGGAGGCTGAGGCGGGAGGATCTCTTGAGGCCAGGAGTTTGAGAGCGGCCTGGGTGACACAGTGAGACTCCATCTCTAAAAGAAGTTTTTTAAATTTGGTTTGTTAAAAAACAATGATAGCAAAATATTGTTGAGAACAGAAAGAAGGTTTGAATAAACAAAAAATGTACCCATTCATGATAGCAAGATTCAAGTCTCCCAGATGAACTCTAAATTCAGTTCATCCTATGAATATCTTGGCAAATTTCTTTCTGAGGAACTTAACAAAGGAAGAGATGAGGCTGACACCACCTGAAAGGCCTCATGAGCGATTTCAGCAGAAGGCTGGGTATAGCCAGAAGAGCATCTTCCAGAGTGTAAAAATCAAGGATTAAAATATAGAGACAAATCTCTAAATTTAACATTTTATGTGGGAAGCGATTTGGGTCTTACACACAGACCAAGTAAGTGGTCTTCAATATGTCTGAAGAACAAAGAGGAGGTTGGAGGTGTTATAAAAAGGAGAAATGGTACATACTGTTTTTCAGAAAGTTCATTGGCACCAGTAAAATCTGGGGACGCTGGCCAGCTCTGACTGGTGAGTGACAGCCAGTGAAACTCATCTTAGAGTTGCAACGGGTGGTATCAGTACCTATCAGATAAGACTGGCTTTGGCTGAGTGTGGTGGCTCACGCCTGTAATCCCAGCACTTTGGGAGGCCAAGGCGGATGGATCACCTGAGGTCAGGAGTTCAAGACCAGCCTGACTAACATGGTGAAACCCCATCTCTACTAAATACAAAAAATTAGGCGGGCGTGGTGGCTCATGCCTGTAATCTCCCAGCTACTTAGGTGGCTGAGGCAGGAGAATTGCTTGAACCCAGGAGACGGAGGTTGCAGTGAGCTGAGGTCGCGCCGTTGCGCTCCAGCCTGGGCAACAAGAGCAAAAACTCCATCTCAAAAAAACAAAACAAAACAAAAAACTGGTTTCAGGTTGGAGCAGACAGCCTCAGCAGCCAGGCTGCAGAGAATGACATTCCTGGAGCTGTGTTATGTGCCACCCTCCTGCCCCCCACCTCTGGACTCTGTTTTATTTGGGTGTGACAAGAGTGACCCAATTCATATGGTCAACTGTCACAAGAGACAACCATCACAGACAACTTGTGCTGTGGGGACGCCTCTGGAGCCTGCCCCAGGCTTCCAGCTACACTTGGCATATTGACCACATGGGGGAGAGGGGGTCTCCTCTCCCTACCCACACCCCACCAGAATTCCTTGGCAGTTATTTTTATTTTTTAAATTTAATTCAATTTAATTTCTATTTATTTATTTATTTATTTTTGAGACACAGTCTCATTCTGTCACCCAGGCTAGAGTGCAGTGGCACGATCTGGGCTCACTGCAACCTCTGATTCCCAGGTTCAAGCGATTCTCCTGCCTTAGTCCCCCGAGTAGCTAGGATTACAGCTGTGCACCACCATGCCTGGCTAATTTCTGTATTTCTAGTAGAGTCAGGGTTTCACCGTGTTGGCCAGGCTGGTCTCGAACTCCTGACTTCAGGTGACCTGCCCACCTTGGCCTTCCAAAGTGCTGGGATTACAGGCATGAGCCATCGCATCTGGCCTATTTTTAAAAAGGGATAAATCCACAAGGACAAAGGGAATGAGGGGAGGTGACTGTGGGGAAGAGAGGCCAACATGCTTCTGTGGAGCGGAGAGTGGATGGAGGCAGTGGCCACTTCCACAGATCACAGTGTGGCTGGCAGGGGGAAACCTGAGGAGAAGCAGCCACTGTGCCCCCAGGATCCCCAGGGGTCAGCACTCAGATGCTGCGGATCGCCACAGATCACGAGAGAGGCCTGAAAATCAGGGCTTGCCTGGAAGTCTAGCTCCCAGCATTTGTAACCCTCAGGCCCCTCCCTGATTTCTGCATCTAGGGACCACCGCTTCACCCCGTCCAAATGGAAATTTGAGGGGCAGGGGTTCATTTTTTAAGAAATTGAAAAGAGAACCCCAGCCTTGGGAAAGCAGGCAGAGTGGAGGGCAAAAATTTGGTACAGGGCCAAAAATAGACGGGAACGTCCACAGTTCCTGCCGCAGGACCCTGGCTTCCTTCCTGACTGGCTACCCGGCGCACGCAATGGGGTTTCTCCCATCCCCACCACCCCCAGGAAGGAGATTAGAAGATCCTGTGCTAGAGAAATGGAAATGCTTCAGGGAAAAGATCTCTTCTCTCTGGCTACAGACATTAGGGGACCCCTCCCCAGTGGAAGAGCAGCTGGGCCCAAAATCACCCAACAGGGAGAAGTCCACCCATTGATAAGCCCTATCTGGGCACTCAGGCTTCCAGGAATCCCCAGACCTGAGGAACAGCCCTCACATGGAAGACAATGTTTAAAACAACAGGAGAAAGGAACGCCAGGCAAAGAACAGGAGAGAACTTAGAAGTTTGTTTTAAGAACAACACAACCCTCAAGGGCTCCTTGGAGTAATGACTGACTCCAGGTCTGCAGCGGAGAATGTATGACATGTGCCAGGAAGCAGAGGGGTGTGCGGGACTCGAGGGTCTCATCCAGGGACTCGGTGCCATCTGGAAAGGACTCAGCGGCCAGAGTCCAGCGGGCTCACTGGCATCACACAGGTAACAGCTTCAGTGGACATGTAGAAAGCCACGATGACCCACACCCCGCCCAGGAAGGAGGAAGGTGGGAGGAGGAGAAGAAAAGAGAGGAGGAAGAGGAAGAGGAGAGAAAGAAGAAAGGGAAGAAAGTTTCTGCCTGTTGGGGTTTAAATCCTCCTTACCTTAACCACATTAAGGGTCCTTTAACCACCTTAAGGGTCCCTTAACCGTCTCATATCCAGACTCTAGTTTTTTTTTTTTGTTTGTTTTTTGAAATGGAGTCTTACTCTGTTGCCCAGGCTGGAGTGCAGTGGCACGATTTAGGCTCACTGCAAAATCTGCCTCCTGGATTCAAGCAATTCTCCTGCCTCAGCCTCCCAAGTAGCGGGGATTATAGCCACCCGCCACCACACCAGCTAATTTTGTATTTTTAGTAGAGACGGGGTTTCACCATGTTGGTCAGACTGGTCTCGAACTCCTGACCTCAGGTGATCCACCTGCCTCGGCCTCCCAAAGTGCTGGGATTACAGGCATGAGCCACCACGCCAGGCCCAGACTCTAGTTTTTACATCAGTCATAACATTTCAAATTTCTATATTTTGGTGTTCTGAGTCGTTCAGTGAATACTGCATCATAAGCATTTTTAAATGTTATATTGTTTTCATGACTCTTTCAGAGTTTCTTTCAGAGCTAACATAATATATACTTCTTACAGAAAACTGTAAAGTTTAGACCAGGCCCAGTGGCTCATGGCTGGAACCCAGCACTGTGGGAGACTGAGGTGAAAGGATCACTCGAGCCCTGGAGTTCAAGACCAGCCTGGGCAACATAGCAAGACCCCATCTCTACAGAAAATATAAAAATTAGCCAGGTGTGGTGGCGCACACCTGTGGCCCCAGCTACTCGGGAGGCTGAGGTGGGAGGATGGCTTGATCCCGGGAGGCGGAGGTGGCAGTGAGCTGAGATGGTGCCACTGCACTCCAGTTTGGGTGACAGAGCTAGACCCTGTTTCAAAAAAAAAAAAATTTCCTTCAGGGAGATCCCTATAAGGGGTGTTATTTTCAGAAATGTTCATTTAGAATTATGTCCATGTTGTTGAATCTAATCCTGATTATGTGGTAGCTGTCGCTGCAGCCACCGTCTCACCCTCAAATACCCAATGTCCACTCTCAGGATTTCCAGGGTTAAGGCCCAGTCCCTGGAGCCCAGATGCACAGGGTTCTAATCTTACCTCTGCCACTGACTAGATGTGCAATTTGAGGCAAAGCACCTAAACTGTCTTATGAATTCTTGTACAATGCTGAGAACAATACAAGTTTACAGAAACCTCGCAATAAATACCAGCCCCCATCACCTTGGGTGGCTGTAGCCGCCGATCTGATAGAAGTTTGAAGATTCTAGACGTGGAAATTGAGCAGCCTTCAGCCGTACATCTACTCACACCTGACAATGCACCATATTTGGCATCTATATGTGAATTTATGTCTTTTCTGCCCAGAGAGTCTACAGCGTCAAGTTGGTCAAGGATCAAGAAGAGATCAAGGACCATATTAGGCCTTAGACAAGGTAACATGAAGAAAATCAACAACAACAACAAAAACATGATTAGGGATGACAAGCTTGCATGTTTCCAGGCAGAGTAGCGCTTCGATGATGAAAGTGCCCTGGGGAGAGTGTCTGGGTGTCAGGGTGATGCAGGGGTCCTGCTGACTCCATTCATGGCTGACTCCATTCATGGCGCTGTCTCTGGCTATGGGATGGAGTCTGAGCCTTGCTGAGGAGCAAGCCATGAGCCTTTTTTTTTTTTTTGAGACGGAGTCTCGCTCTGTCACCAAGGCTAAAGTGCAGTGGTACGATCTCGGCTCACTGCAAGCTCCGTCCCCCGGATTTATGCCATTCTCTTGCCTCAGCCTCCCAAGTAGCTGGGACTACAGGTGCCCGTCACCAGGCCTGGCTAATTTTTTTGTATTTTTTTTTTTAGTAGAGACGGGGTTTCACCATGTTAGCCAGGATGGTCTCGATCTCCTGACCTCGTGATCTGCCCGCCTCAGCCTTCCAAAGTGCTGGGATTACAGGCGTGAGCCACTGCGCCCAGCCGCTGTGAGCCCGTTGACCTTGAAGTCTGCAGATGAAGTTGGCACTTGTAGAAAGGAAGGAAAAGACACTTGACCAAGACATAAATGGATAACATCCTTCAGGCCAATGGAAGAAACCAAAAATTCTAGGATGTCAGGGCCTGACCCTGGGCCATGCTTGTGCAGTGAGCAGGCTGTGTTGACCAGAGTTCCTCGGTCATGTGCACACAATGAGGATCCCCCTGGGGATCTTCTTAAAATTCAGATTCTGACTCAGGAGGTCTGGGGTAGAGGCTGAGGTTCTGCATTTTTGTATAGGCTCCTAGGTGATACCCACGCTGCTGGCCCACGGACCACAAGTGGAGCAAGGCAGGAGCAGACAGGCCCTACTCACCCGGCTCCAGGGAGCTCCCTCGGGGCCACCTGGCCACACTCTTCCCTCTCCCGGCCTCCTCTGCCATGTGCTGGCTTCTCAATGGGCCACACCTCTCCTGCTTGCCACCAACCAGCACAGACTGTGGAGCTTCCTGGCAGAGTGAAGGGCCAGAATACAGCAGACCCAACTGTTGTGCTAAGAAACAAATCTTTTTTTTTTTTTTTTTTTTTGAGAGAGTCTCACTCTGTCGCCCGGGCTGGAGTGCAGTGGCGCCATCTTGGCTCACTGCAAGCTCCGCCTCCCGGGTTCACGCCATTCTCCTGCCTCAGCCTCCCGAGTAGCTGGGACTACAGGCGCCTGCCACCACGCCCAGCTAATTTTTTGTGTTTTTAGTAGAGACGGGGTTTCACCGTGTTAGCCAGGATGGTCTCAATCTCCTGACCTTGTGATCCGCCCACCTCGGCCTCCCAAAGTGCTGGGATTACAGGGGTGAGCCACCTCACCCAGCCGAAACAAATCTTTTAAAATCTGATATGAAAGGGAAACCTCCTTGCCCAAGTGTGGCAAGGACAGGACCAGATCCCAGGAGCCTAGGTGGGGATGAGCCCGACCCACCACGGCCTCCGTAGCCAGAGCTGTAGACAGGGTTGCTTGCAGTGGGCCGCACCGTGGCCCGCTGAAAGCACACAGTGGACACGAGCTGAGTCCACAGCTTTCTCTGAGCTGGGACTTAGCCCTCCAGTGGGGAACCATGGTCAGCGGCTGCAACCCCTGGGCAAGATGGGGCCTGGCCTCCTGCCCTCTGCAGGGTCATAGGAGTGTCTGGGAGCTCAGGGTCAGGGCCAGATGGCTGTTCCTGGGGCCTGGGGCTCCAGCTCAGGATGTTTGGGAACAGGAACTCTTGGCTTGGAGAAGCCCATTACACCACAGGAGGCCTGAGATGGTCGGTCTGCGGGGAGCAGCTCAGACTGGGGGTGGCAGAGCAGCGTGTGGCTGTGTGTGGCCAGGTCAGGGGAGAGTGGCCAATGCTGGGCCCTCTCTAAGGAGCCCGAGGGCCACAAGGACCGTGGAAGAGGTCTTGAGTGAGGGAGTCGGGACCTTGTGGCTAGGGGTCTTGCTTGAGGATGCTCTCTGCAGCCACAAGGAGATGCCCAGGCAGGACCAGGTCAGGAAGAGGCTGGGGCAGAGGCCCAGGCAGGAGGTGGGTGGGCTGGGTGGGGATGGGAGTAGCCAGGGTGAAGGTGAGGACAGGGAAGGGGCCCCCCTGCCTCCTGGCTTCCCTGAGGGCGGGGCTGGCCAATCCCAGCGGCAAATGTGTGCAGGGAGGAGTGGGGTCCAGGTTGGAGCTTTGGGAGCCCTTGGAGGCAGCAAGGCAGACTCACCTCTGGGACCCAGCACCCAGCTTGGGCGTGCAGGTGGGGGCTCAGAAGTGAACATCGTGGGGCTTTGAGCAAGACTCTCTGGGATCCAGTCTCAGCTTCCATACTTTGAAGTCAAGGAGTGGACCTGTGCTGTCTGTTTGCTCTGGGGTCTGGGCAGTCCTGTTGTTTGGGTAGAGGCCTCAGAGGGCCCTAGGGACAGACTGACCCAGGTCTGAGCCTCTTGGGAGCGTGCGGATGGCCGGGCTCAGACAGGCCTGGTTATGGGTTTGACTTACAAGGGGCACACGCGCACTCTGGTGCTTCCTGGCATTCAGAAGAGAAGAGGGAGTTCAGACATCAGGCCTTCCTTCTCCCTGGGAAGGATGGCAGGTGCCTGGAGCCAGGCCTGTCTTGAGAGCCAGGGCTCTGGGTCTTCCTCCTCCAGTGCCCTGTTCCAGGCCTTCAGTGCATAAAGCACTCCCCTCCTGGGGTCTCTTCAGGGCTCCCCGGGATGCAAATGGGACAGGGAATAGGATCCCAGGTTTGAGGAAACCAAGGCCCAGAGAGGAGAAGTGACCTGCCCAGAACCACAGGACAGTCAGGGCACACCTAGGTTTCAACGGCAGGCTGCTATGAGCCCCATCATGTCAGTTTGTCTCAGGCTTGGCAAGGTGGTGCAGCACTGCTAGGCCCCCCTCTTCTTCCTCAGGGTGACCAACCAGCAGCCCTGCTGTTTAAGAGTCCCTTTCGGCAGAAAACCCCTTATTTGAGTGACCAGGAATAGACCCCTGATTATATTGGTGGGCAGGCTATGGATTTCATGGGCTTCCCAGTGCCAGAGACCTGATTCAGGCACTTCTCTAAGCTGAGCATCTACTGTGTGCCTGGTAACATCTCTGTGCTGGTCACATCACAGAAGCAAGAGCCCCTCATGGTGTTCTTAAGTCCTAACTCGGAATAACAACAGGTCAGAGCCCCCCAAAGCCCAGGCACAGGCCCTGAGCCCCTGGACACTGGCGTTTGTGTCTGAGAGGGGGTGAGAACACTTCTCTGTAGGAAATGTCTTCAGCCCAGGATCCAGGGGTGGGGGGAACCTCGACCATGGGGTGGGTTGTTCCTGCCACTGTGGGATCAATGTGGCTACAAGACCCGGGCAAGGGATTCCTCATCCAGGCCTGTGTGCTCAGGAGAGTGACGCTTCCCTCATGGGGAGGTCGGGGTGAGGGTGCCCCTGCCAATCACCAAAGAGCCCTCTCCAACACAAACCCAATGGGAGGAACCTGGGGTGTCCCAGAGAAGGGACCCAGCCCAAGCTTCCTCTGCCCCTCAGGCACCAACTGCTTCTTGCTCAGGGGGGTCCCCCAAGGGTTTAGGGACAGAGGGAAGGTCTCACAGTGCTCTGGGTGGCAGACTGGCAGGGGGCAGCTTGTCTACCACCCCGGGCCTGGAGACTAGTTGAGGCACGTGGCCACCTGGGCCGCCTCTGGGCTCAAAGATCAGAGAACCAGTCCTGGGCGCAGTGGCTTGTTATAGAAATCTGTTTAATGGTTTAGGAATGTGTACACTCTGGCTCTGCCAAGTTTCCATAAAGGCAACTTTTCCATGTTTTAAAAAATAGATTTGGTATAAAGATTTATATATTCATAAATAGGTGGCATGAAAAATTACCAAATGCAAATGGAATACTTGCGCTGACTGAAGCCCTGTTCACCCCAAGTCCAGGCCCTGCAGGGGTCCGAGGGTCTCTGCTGGAGGAGGCCCCAACTCCGGCAGCCTCTTAGGGAAGAGAAACTGAATTAAATGTGTATTAGGAACCCCTCCAGCTCCTTAAGCCAGCGTCGCACTGGCCCCACCGAGGCCTCAGCCCACCTCCCTCTGCTTCCCCCCGCCACCTCCACCATTGCCCCCTCCCCTGCACTCTGGCCCCTGACCCCACCTGTTCCCACTCTTTGGCAATTTATCAACAAAGGAAGAGATGACACTGTTCTCCTTCCGCCCCAGAGCCCGGGCTGCCGGGAGAGCTTAGCCTGCCAAGGGGAGGAAACAAGCCGGCTTTGTTTTGTCTCACACACTTCCCCGTCTTCTCTCCCAGCCCAGTTTTAAGGGCCGGAAGGGCAGTGGGGCCCCCTCCTGGTGGGATACAGCAGGGCAGGAGCCCCTGCAACCCCAGGTACAGGTCTTGAGTCCCTGGACACCGGCTTTTGTGCCTGAGAGGGGGTGGGAACGCTTCTCTGTAGGAAATGGCTTCAGTCCAGGATCCAGGGGTAGGGGAACCTCGACCATGGGGTGGGTTGCTCCTGCCAGGGGGTACTAGGGGCAAGGCCCCAGGGTGGAGCCAGTTCTGGGAGCTGTGTCCAGCTAGGCATCTGTGACCCCAAATGGCATGAATAAAAGGGCAGGTTGCTAAGAGCCAGGGGAGGGCATGGGGCAGGGAGACCAGGTTGGCCCAGACAGGACAGAGGTGCTCCAGGGACAGGGTGCTGGAGTGAAGCCAGGTGGAGCGGTGGAGCTGTGGAGCCTTTGAAACATCCTGAGGGCCCAGGCCTGCCACAGGGTGACCTGGGCAGAGGAGAAGCCCAGAGGACAGCAAGGTGCCCAAATGAGGTCAGGGCTTCTGGGGTGGAGGGACGGGGGGCACAGTGGCGGCGGGGGAAGGAACGTTGAGTCCCAGGTGAGCCTGCCTTTCCAGGCCAAGCCCTTGGAGTGAGGGTGCTCCTGCCTGGGGGGCGAGAAGTGGAAGTGGCTCACAGTCCAAGGTGACAAATGAACCCATCACCGGTCAGCTACCATCCCTGTGAAGGAGCCAGGGTGGAAGGCCCTGTCCATGTCCTCCCTCCCTCCCTAAGCCCTGAGGAAGGTAACAGCCCCACCTGTGAGGCCCCAGCCTGGAAGCAGAGTAGGAGAGCCGGGCTTCTTAGAGGTGGGCAGTGGGTGGTGGTGGGCAGTACTGGTAAGTATGCTTGGGTGGCTGGGACTTGCCCTGGAACTGGGGCTGAAATTCAAACGGGGAGGCCCAGGCCTTTGTTCCCAAGACCCTGTGAATGCTCCCTGTTCCCCCAAAAACAGAGGGGCTCTGCAAGGACAGGCTTCATGGGATTTCTCTTTCAGAGTGGGCCTGCAGTGAAAGACCAGCTCAGCCCCTTCTGACCATGTGACCCCAGAAACTTCAGCCCCAGCAGAAAGGTTGTGAGGCTGGAGGAAGGCACTGCCCACGGCACATCCAGTCCCAGCGGGGTCTGGGGGCACCCCTCAGTGCCAGGCACTGTCTGCCCTGCAAGGGGAGCCCAGGCACTGCAGTGGAGGCGCAGGGGCAGAGCCCAGACCCCACTCAGCTCCACTCTCACCCCTGCCACAAGCAAAGCTGCTGAGAAAGGGAGCCAGGCAGCCTCGCCTCTGGCGCCCCCCAATCTGATGCACCCAGACTCCCCTCAATGCAGGTGCTAGCCCCTCAGCTCCTGGCAGCCTTCCTCCCCTGCAGAACCAGGCTCAGCCATTCCACAGGTAGCCTCCCTGCCCAAAAGGAAGCCTGGCAGGTGAGATGCTGGCTCCACCACCAGCATCAAGCCCTGCTTGTCTCAGTCTCAGCAGAGGAAACCCTGTCCAGGCCCCAACCCTGCCTCTTGGGTCACCGTGGCACTGCTGTAAGGCCTGCTCTTGCCCTATGGCCAGGCCTGCCTGGAAAGTGCTTAGTGCAGAGGGCAGGGAGGCATGGGGGAGGCCTCTCACTGGCCCAGGGACTGCACTGAGCCATGCCTGGCCTGCCCCTGGGAGCTAGACCACAAACCGACGCAGCCCTGCTCGTGGGTCCAAGAGCTGCTTACTTCTGGGGGCACCCATGCTGAGGGGGCTGCGAGGCAGAGCTGGGCTGACACAGACGGACTGGGATTGGCTAAGGAAGATCACCTGGCCCCTCCAGCCCTAGCCCTGGCTCTTTTGTCACTGTGATACCTCTGAGCCACATGCCCAGAGGACAATGCTGCTTCCCACATCCCCCTACCCCACTTTTGCCTTCTAACCTTGGTGCCCAGCTCAGGGTGAGGCAGTTAAGGGTCCAGGGAATAAAATGGGCCAGGCCAAGGACCGCCAGGGCCTCTCCTTTTTTGTCTGGGAGACTCGATTCCATAGACTGGGACCCACGCTCGGCTGGCAGGATTCCTGCTTGTGGGGTAAGGCTGGGTGCCTTGCGGTGCCCTCTCATCCCTGAGCCTCAAGGATGCAAGCTTCTACTTGGACCTTAAATGTCCACTTTCTCATCTCATTCCCCCACCTGCCAGACTTCTGAGTGCTGGCACTGAAGGATTAGCTAATTTTGCAACCTGAGTGGCAAAACACTGGGCCCTGAGCCAGCAGACAGTCCCCACCTAGCTGTGGGCCGTGACCCCACCTAGCTGTGGGCCGTGACCCCATGCTGTGCTGATGAAAATGAGAAGCTACACAGAAAGTCAGAAAACTCAGAGGTCCTGATAAGGCAGTGAGCCAGACCCCAGGGAGATGTCTGTGAGTGCTGCGGGGGCAGTGAAGGCAGGAAGCAGGTTCCCCGCCTGGAAGGGGCTGGGGCTTCCCTGGAGCTGCGCTCAGGCACCAAGTCTGTGGGTCTCATGGCTCTAGCTCTGCTGCTCTGTGCAGAGCCCCAGGATGACCGGGAAGAACCCAGGGCACTGGACACATCCCTGGAAAGCAGCAACCTGCTGCCACAGGTAAAGCAAACCCATGAGAGGAAACGGTCAGAGCCAGCAGGCATGGGACAGGGAGGACTGCTGGCCCCTCCTACTGTGGCCCACACCGGCGGGTTCAGGCCAGTCTTGGAATGTGAAGATGGTGGAGGGCCAGCTGCTGGCTGGCAGGGTGGCCCGCCAGGGTATCCTGCTTCCCCTTCCTCAAGGAGAGCCTCCATCCCGCAGCCAGGCCACAGGATGCAGAGCTCCAGAGCTTCACCCGGCTGCTGTAGTTGCCGGTACCCAGGAGGGCTGGCTCTGGAGGGCTGGGCTTGGCAGGCTGGGGAGAGCAAGGAGGTGGGGAACCCCCAGTCTGCCGGCCCGGCCCCTGGTCAGCACCCGCAGCCCCAGCCTTCTCCGATGTCCTTGCTGTTCAGCTGGATGTGGTCGGGGCTCTTCTCGCTGAACAAGGGGCCCCCGTGCCGCATGATGAGCTCCGTGGCCACCCTCAGGAAGGCCTCCTCCACGTTGCTCGAGTCCTTGGCAGACGTCTCAATGGCACACAGGATGTCATAGTGCTCAGCCAGGCTCTGTGCCTCAGCCAAGGAGACCTCCCGAAGCTCGCTGAGGTCTGACTTGTTCCCTGCGGAGGAAAGCCGGGGCAGCATGAGGCCATGGGGGCTGGGCAAGCCCAGTCCCACCTGGGAGGGTCACGCTGACAGCCCCATGCCACTCCCTTCCACCACTATAAATGGACACCCCTGGCATGGTCATCTGTCTTTCTTTAAAAAACCTTTTTTAGGCCGGGTGCAGTGGCTCACGCCTGTAATCCCAACACTTTGGGAAGCTAAGGCAGGAAGACTGCTTGAGCCCAGGAATTCAAGACCAGCCTGGGCAACACAGTGAGACCCCGTCTCAATTTACCCAGATCCTCCTAGATGGTATGAGATGACTTCATTACATTCCAAACAATCTGTTAAATTGCTCCTTGACCCAATTTCTAGAATAATTTTTTAAAAGTCTCTACATGGTTGACTTTTGTAATGTGGTTATAAGGAAGACAAAAAAAAAAAGAGTCTGGGCCAAGCGCAGTGGCTCATGCTTGTAATCCCAGCATTTGGGAAGGCCGAGGTGGGTGGATCACCTGAGGTTGGAAGTTCAAGACCAGCCTGGCCAACATGATGAAACCCCGTCTCTACTTAAAAAAAATACAAAAAATTAGCTAGGCGTGGTGGCGGGGGCCTGTAATCCCAGCTACTCGGGTGCCTGAGGCAGGAGTGGCAAGCGGAGGTTGCAGTGAGCCGAGATTGTGCCACTGTACTCCAGCCTGGGCAACAAGAGCGAAACTCCGTCATAAAAAAAAAAAAAAAAAAAAAGTCTGTAAAGATCTAAAATTTCCTTGGTAACCTTAATTGATGTAGCAACCAGTTTCAAAGTGTGAAACTTATTTGGATCCTGATCTCAACAAACTGGAAAAAATAAAACACATATGAATTTTATGGGCAATTATAAATCTGAATACAGACTGGCTATTTTATATTATTAAGGAAATGTCAGTATTTTTAGATGAGAAAATAATATTGCTGTTTTTAAGTGTTTAAATATTTTGTAGGTTCATGCTGGAATACTGCCAGGTGAAATGGTTTGATGTGAATTTGTCTCAATAATCCGAGGGAGGGGAGGTGACATGGTACAGATGAGAGGAGGTTGGACTTCAGTTGCTAATTGCTGAAGCAGGGTAATGGGTACCTGGGGGCTCATTATTATACTATTCTAAGCCAGATATAGTGGCTCACACCTGTAATTCCAACTACTTGGAGGTTGAGGCAGGAGGATTGCTTGAGGCCAGGAGTTCAAGATCAGCCTGGGCAACATAGCAGGACTGCATCTCTAAAAATATATGTATGTATATAAGTATGCATAAATAAATAGATAAAATACTATTTTCATAGCTGTATAAAATGTTCTATAGGCCGGGCGCGGTGGCTCACGCCTGTAATCCCAGCACTTTGGGAGGCTGAGGCGGGTGGATCACGAGGTCAGGAAATCGAGACCATCCTGGCTAACATGGTGAAACCCCGTCTCTACTAAAAATACAAAAAATTAGCCAGGCATGGTGGCGGGCGCCTGTGGTCCCAGCTACTCGGGAGGCTGAGGCAGGAGAATGGTGTGAACCCAGGAGGCAGAGCTTGCCATGAGCCGAGATCGCGCCACTGCACTCCAGTCTGGGCGACAGGGTGAGACTCTGTCTCAAAAAAAAAAAAAAGTTCTATAATAGAATGTTTTTTAATTAATTATTTTTTGGAAGACAGAGTCTTACTCTGTCGCATAGGCTGGAGGACAGTGGCACGATCTCGGCTCACTACAATCTCCGCCTCCCAGGTTCAAGCGATTCTCCTACCTTGGCCTCCGCAGTAGCTGGGATTACAGGTGTGTGCCACCATGCCTGGCTAATTTTTGTATTTTTAGTAGAGATGGGGTTTCACCATGTTGCCCAGGCTGGTCTTGAACTCCTGAACTCAGGCAATCCACCCACCTCAGCCTCTCAGTGTTAGGATTACAGGTGTGAGCCACCATGCCAGGCTGGAATGTTTTTCAGAAATGTCCTGGATAAATGGGAATTGGTGGCTGGGTGTGGTGGCTCACACCTGTAATCCCAGCACTTTTAGAGGTCGAGACGGGTGGATCACGAGGTCAGGAGATCGAGACCATCCTGGCCAACATGGTGAAACCCAGTCTCTACTAAAAATACAAAAGTTAGCCAGGTGTGGTGGTGCGTGCCTGTAGTCCCAGCTACTCAGGAGGCTGAGGCAGGAGAATTGCTTGAACCCGGGAGGCGGAGGTTGCAGTAAGCCAAGATCGTGCCACTGCACTCCAGCCTGGCGACAGAGCGAGACTCCGTCCCCCACCCCCAGCAAGAAAAGGTGGGGAAATGGTTAGGCTACGTGAGGAAAGCTCTGTTCATGCCAAGCACTCCATGTCCTAGTCTGAACAGGCTGTGGAAGGCAGGCCACATGGAACCAGGCACCACCCTCTTCCTGGCTGGAGTCAGGTCCAGGCCCTGTCTGTACATTTGAGTCAGAAGAATCAACCTGTTGGCCCAGCTACTCGGGAGGCTGAAGCAGGAGAATCGCTTGAACCAGGGAGACAGAGGTTGCAGTGGTTTTGCAGATCTTGCAGAACCAAGATCACGCCACGGCACTCCAGCCTGGGTGACTGAGTAAGACTCTGTCTCAAAAAAAAGAATCAACCTGTTGGGGTGAGGACCCCAGGGATAACATAAGAGCTAAAGAGCTTCTCCAGTCCAGGTCTGGGAAGGTTATATAGAAGGAAAACAAAGGTAAACAGCATCCTTCCACAGCAGCAGTTCTCAAAGTGGGATCCTTGGACCAGCAAGGTGGGTGTCACTTGGGAATTTGTTAGAAACGCACATTCATGGGCCCCACCCAGCCCGCCTGGATCAGATGCTCTGGAGGTTGAGGCCCTGCAGCTGCACTTGAAGAAGACTTCTGTGGGATTCTGAGGCACGGAAGCCATCAAGTGTCCCTGCTCTGTGTGCGGCACAACAGAGAAAGCCACAGACTTGAGGTCAGCAGAAGCAAACTCAAAGCCTACATGTGTATGCTCACAGGCCATGTGGACCCGGATAAATCACTGCACTTTTCTGAGCCTAGCCCCAGCCCCTGTCAAATGAGGAGAAGCCGGGGTACAAGAGCTAAATCTTGACACATGTGAAGAACAGCAGAGCAAACTTCAGCTCTCTTTCTTCTTTCCTCTAATTCCAATTTTGAATATAACTTTCTTTTTTTTTTTTTTTTTTTTTTTTTTTTGAGACGAATCTTGCTCTGTCACCCAGGTTGGAGTGCAGTGGCGTGATCTCAGCTCACTGCAAGCTCCGCCTCCCAGGTTCATGCCATTCTCCTGCCTCAGCCTCCCCAGCAGCTGGGACTACAGGCGCCTGCCACCACAACCGGCTAATTTTTTTTTATTTTTTTAGTAGAGACGAGGTTTCACTGTGTTAGCCAGGATGATCTCGATCTCCTGACCTTGTGATCCGCCCGCCTCAGCCTCCCAAAGTGCTGGGACTACAGGCGTGAGCCACCGTGCCCGGCCTTGAATGTAACTTTCTAAGTGATTAGCAGGATCAGGATTTGCAAAACCATGGCTCAAACTCTGGCTGGGACTCCCTCTGAACTCAGGGTTACACTGTGTTTAAAAAGCAGAGGGAGGCATGGACAGGCAGAGTGATGGGATTTGTGGTCCCGAGGAATCCCCAACTCACCGATCAGCAGCTGCACAATGTTGGAGCCCGCATACTTCCTCACATCCTCAATCCAGTGAGGCACCGACAGGAAGGAGCTCCTCTTGGTGATGTCGTAGGCAAGGATGGCCCCATTGGCACTGCGGTAGTAGCTCTGGGTGATGGTGCGGAACCGCTCCTGGCCGGCCGTGTCCCAGATCTGCAGCTAAAGAAATAAGGTTCCTCAGTGAACCCAGTGGCACAGGCTGAACATGGGGACAGGCAGAGTGACCCCACAGACCCACACCCAGAGCTGTGGTTCCACTGGGCTAGGAGGCCTTCTGAGTCCTTAGAAAGCAACTCAATGGCTCAACCTTGTTGGAAAAATGGGGAAGCAAAGGGAAGGTGAGCAGCCCCTGTCCTGGCCCTCTAGGGTCCCCAGGGAAAGATGGAGGAAGGGGTACACTCTGAGCTGACCCAGGTCCTCCGCGTGCCCCTCCGTGTGCCCCTCTCCCCTCAGGACTGGGCCCACTGCTGCGAAAACAGAACCACCAGTGCTCAAGCGGCCGGCGGCTGGAAAGCTGGCTCCAGGTGCACTGCACGGCCAGCAGTAGGCACGGCCAGGTACCCTCCCCTACAAGAGCATCACGTACCCAGCTGTGTGTGAGGCTCCTCCAGCATTAGGGTTCCCTCAGGACTCTACAGCTTGGTGATGAGGACTGTGGGAAGGGTGACTGGTGGTGGCAATGGGCAGAGTCCTCCCATGGGGCCTTTAAGTACAAGGCAGTTTCCACCAGCTGACCCAGCTTGGCCAAAGCAAGGAGCTTTGGCCACCCATGTCTTCATTTAACACCTACTCTGCCCCATCTCCCACCAGATGTGGGCTGTGGAGAAGAGGTGCCCATGGGTGGGAGGAGCTTCCCTAGTGTCTTTTAGAAGCAGAGTCTGGCAGGATGGATACCAGGCCAGGTAGGGGCAGAGGTCTGTGCGGGGCCAGGAGGCTGCCCACTCTGGGCAGAGATCACCAGCCAAGGGGCATATGCCAGGGATCTTGGTGACCAAACACCTTGGGGATCGGGTGTGCCTTCTCTGCCCCACCAATCACAGGTTCTCATGGCTCTCTGAAGACTGACACCCAGCTTGTGGCGTGTGCCAAGCTGCAGGTCCATCAGCCCCCTTTGCAGGCACAAACACTCGGGGTGTCTCTTTACCTAGTTCTCAAGGTATGTGAGAAAGGTCTTTCTCTCAAGGTCTGTCTGGGGTGGGGAAAAGCCACAGAGGCCCAGACAGTTCCTGAAGGCAGGGCCTCTGCCCCTGGCACTGTGGAGGTGACCACCATTGCCCCAGCCCCAACACAGAAGTCTGAGAGTGAAAGCTCTGGGCCACAATGTGCCAAATAAGACTCCTCTTTCCTGAGTTGTCCCATTTACTCCTCAGTGAGTGGCTCTAAGAAAACCAGGCCTATGTTCCATAGTTCATGCGTCTTGCAGCTCATGCATGGCAGCATGGGGTGAAGTGCAAGGTTTATGTGTGTACCACACAAGCCTGGGATCCAGATAACCTCTGGTGTGGAGATAACTCGTCTCCACACATAACACGAAAGACACCGGCCAAACAACAGCAAAAACACAACACAGAAGAAACAACACAGAGGCAAAGTACTCAAACAATCGTCAATGTTTCAGAAATAGGGAAAGATTCATGGAACAAGGAAAGAATAGTATCTTTTTTGGTGAGGCGCATTCAGAAAGAAAAAAGAGCTCAATTAAAAATATGATTAACATACATGAAAAATGCAACATCAGGGTTGGAAGATAAAGTTGAAGAAATCCCTCCAAAGTAGAGAAAAAATACAAAGAAATGGAAAAGAGAGAAAATAAAATTGAAAGCCAGGTGCGGTGGCTCAAGCCTGTAATTCCAGTACTTTGGGAGGCCAAGGCAGAAGGATCACCTGAGATCAAGAGTTCGAGACCAGGCTGGCCAACATGGTGAAACCCCATCTCTACTAAAAATACAAAAATTAACCAGGTGTGGTGGTGCACGCCTGTAATCCCAGCTACTGGGAAGGCTGAGGCAGGAGAATCGCTTGAACCTGGGAGGCAGAGGTTCCAGTGAGCCGAGATCACGCCACTGCACTCCAGCCTGGACGACAGAGTGAGTGAGACTGTCTCAAAAAAAAAGAAAAGAAAAGAAAAGAAAATTAAGAAGCAGCCTAGGAGAGCAGGATAATCAGAGTTTCAGAAAAAGAGAACAATACAATCAAGGAGAGGAAATCAAGTATTTCAAGAAAAGTATCCAGAATTGACTGAGGGGCCCACCAGGCACACACACAATGGAGCAGAGCAGACCACACTGCATCCATGGGCAGAAGTTCCAGAACAACAGGCAAGAAGAAAGAACACAAAAGACCCATGTGGCATTAGACAGCCAACAAAACAATGCCTTAAAATGAGGAGAAAAATTATTTCCAACCTAGAATTCTCTACCCAACCAACCAGTAGTCAAGTGTGAGGGTTTAATAAAGGCACTCCCAGACATACAGTCCTCGAAAAATTCACCTTCCTGCTACCCTTCCTCAGGGAGTGACTGAAAGTTCCTCTACCTAAAGAAATCAACAAAAAATAAGAAAATGTGGGATCCAGAAAACAGAGAGTTCAACTGAAAAGGGAGGCAAAGGGAGATGCCAGGATGATGGAAAGAGAGATAAATCCCAGGATAATACCTGAGCAGCAGCCTAGACATCAGCCAACTTGGAGCCGGTCAGAGGGCTCCTGGAGCAGCTTCCAGCCATGGCAGCATCGCTGGTGGCAGAGTAGCCCTCCCTCCACACACACCACAGGACTGGAGAAAATATATGAGGCTGTCGTTTTTGGAATGTAGATAACAAGCGGCCTGAGACCATAACCCCTAAAAAAGGAAAAACTCATGAAAGGCACCTCATGATCATTGTGACACTCTACCTGGGAGTTTCCTGACCATGGGGCTAGAATCCAAGCAGAGCACAGTGGTCCCACTGAGCTAAGGAGGCAGAGATCAGGGTCTGGAGCAGATGATGTGATGAAATGAGAAGACATAAGTAGGGGGAGCCCAAAAGTCTATGTGAGGTGTCCCAGTGAGCTCTTGACCAGAGAGTGCCCCTTCCAGAGTTGAGAACAGACCAGAGATAGAGGTTCAGGAGTGCTAGGGGATGCTGAAGTTCCAAGCCAGACACAGTGAACAGGCCTCATTAGTGTCTCATTAGCGACCCGTATATGAGCTATCAGAACGTCACTATGGGTGAGGACCATGCCTAAAGAATAGGCCTCCATAGACCTGCCCTCACCAACATAAGCCTTGGGTTTGGAGGTTGAGTTCTGCCACATTAGCGAGGCTCAGAAACACCTTAGTCTTTCCACATATCCACCCTAACAAAACATAAAAAACAAGCCTAAACGAATAACTTCAAGGTGATCAGCCAGTAACTGAATTGACTACTAGGACAAGAATCAACACTCTTCTAAAGAAGGTAACAGAATCCAGAGTCTCGTTAAGTTATCAACCACAATTTCCATATACTATTGAAAATTGCTAAACGTGCAAAGAAACAGGAAAATATGAACCACAGATAAGGGAAAAAGCAATCTATTGACACTGATGCCAAAATGGCCCAGATATTGTATTTAGTAGGGAGACTTTAAAGCAGCGATTTTAAATATGTTCAGAAAATTACAAGGAAAGTATGTTCAAAGAGTTAAAGAAAAACATCGCCATAATGAGTGGACGAATAGGGGATTTAAGGAAATAAATGAAAAATTATTTCTTAAAACATAAATGTTTTATTAAACTATTTATTATTATTAAAATTACGGGCTGGGTGCAGTGTTTCATGCCCATAATCCCAGCACTTTGGGAGGCCAAGGCAGGTGGATCACTTGAGGTCAGGAGTTGAAGACCAGCCTGGCCAACATGGTAAAACCCCATCTCTACCAAAAATACAAAAATTAGCCAGGCATCGTGGTATGCTCCTGTAATCCCAACTACTCGGGAGGCTGAGGCATGAGAATCCCTTGAACCTCAGAGGCAGAGGTTGCAGTGAGCCCAGATCACGCTACTGCACTCCAGCCTGGACAACAGAGCAAAACTGTCTCAAAAAATATATATATGTTAAACTTAATTTTTTTTTTTTTGAGACGGAGTCTCACTCTGTCACCCAGGCTGGAGTGCAGTGGCGCGGTCTCGGCTCACTGCAACCTCCGCCTCCCGGGTTCATGCCATTCTCCTGCCTCAGTCTCCCAAGCAGCTGGGACTATAGGCGTCCACCACCATGCCCAGCTAATTTGTTGTATTTTTAATAGAGACAGGGTTTCACTGTGTTAGCCAGGATGGTCTTGATCTCCTGACCTTGTGATCTGCCCACCTCAGCCTCCCAAAGTGCTGGGATTACAGGCGTGAGCCACCGCGCCTGGCCTTAATTTTTTTTTTGAGACGGAGTTTCGCTCTGTTGTCCAGGCTGGAGTGCAATGGCACGATCTTCGCTCACCGCAACCTCCGCCTCCTGAGTTCAAGTGATTCTCCTGCCTCAGTCTCCTGAGTAGCTGGAATTATGGGCACGTGCCATCACACCCGGCTAATTTTGTATTTTTGGTAGAGACAGGGTTTCTCCATGTTGGTCAGTCTGGTCTCGAACTCCCGACCTCAGGTGATCCACTCGCCTCGGCCTCCCAAAGTGCTGGGATTACAGGCGTGAGCCACTGCGCCCAGCCTAAACTTAATTTTTAAATTAGTGGAAATTCTAGAACTAAAAATTATAGTAAGTGGAAAATTCACTGGATGAACTTAATAGCAGATTATAGATGGCAGAAAAAAAAAATCAGTGAACCTGAAGAAAAATCAATAAAGAGTTAATATGAGGAAGGGGAAAAAAGATTGAAGAAAATGAATAAAATCGGAAGGATATGTGAGATAATACCAAACTGTCTCATACTCACATAATTGCAGTTCCAGGAAAAGATAGTGATAATGGGGGAAGAATACTCAAAGAACTAATGACTGAAAAATCTCCAAATCTGATGAAACATACCTGGCTTAAAGATCCAAGAAGCTCAGCAAACCCCAAGCAGAAAAAATACAAAATACACAAAAGCAGATCACAGTCAAAATGACAGAAAACAAGAATAAAGGGGAAATATGAAAAGCAGTCTGATAAAAGACATATTCCATACATGGGAACAACAATACAAATGACAACCACTTCTCAGAATAATGGAAGCCAGAAGACAATGCTGAGAAGTGCTAAAAAGAAAAAAACAAGTGCGGAAAGAAAAAACTCTCAATGCTGAAGTACTTGTCAAACAAAATTTTCCCTCATAAGACAGGGTGAAATCAAGACGTTTGCAGATAAATGGAAGTAGAGAGAAGCTCCTTGGAAAAAAGCTGCCCTGCAAGAAATGCCAGATGGTACCACTGCACTAAAGCCTGAGCAACAGACTGAGACCCTATTTCAAAAGAAGAGGTGGAAGTGGCTGCTCTAGGGCAGGGGGTTGGCAATATCCTAAGACCTTCTGCTACCAATCCTTGTAGAACCAAATGACTCCTCAAACCACACACAAGTTAAGTTTGCTTAAAATAAAAACTAAATGAAAAACCAACAAAATAACTACTGATTAAGGTATGTAGGCCAACCAGCTGGTGAACTGTGGGCAGTAATGGAGAAGATATTTTGGGAAAGTAGACCCTTCCCATGGCTGGTAGTATTCCCATCCTATTCCCCCAAATTAGAGGAAGGGAAGGATACAGGGTAGCGGTGGTACGCTGGGGCCAACAAGCCTGAGCTCATGACCTGATGCTCTGTCACCAGCTTTGTGTCTCTAGGCTAAAACTTCATTCTGTTTTTCTTTTTTTTTGAGACGAGTCTCGCTCTGTCGCCCAGGCTGGAGTGCAGTAGCGTGATCTCTGCTCACCGCAACCTCTGTCTCCCAGGTTGAAGCGATTCTCCTGCCTCAGCCTCCCGAGTAGCTGGGATTACAGGCGTGTGCCACCACACCCAGCTAATTTTGTATTTTTAGTAGAAACAGGGTTTCGCCATGTTGGCCTGGCTGGTCTCGAACTTCTGACCTCAGGTGATCCACCCGCCATGGCCTCCCAAAGTGCTGGGATTGCAGGTGTGAGCCACTGCGCCCGGCCATTCTGTTTTTCATCCGTACAAAAAGGTGCTGTCAGAGTCAAATGACCAAACCCATGTGCCCAAGTGCTAGCATGGAGAAGGTGCTGATAAATGCATCCGTTTAACAATATTTACTGAGCTATTATAATTTTGTGGCAAATGTTTTTAATATACACAAAGGAACTTAAATGCAAAAGAGAATACATATAGTACCAAAAGAAAAACATACTAGGCTGTGTACATGAGTCGTTCATTTTTCATTCAACATGCGCTGAGCTCCTGCCTTGTCCCAGCCTCTGCTCTGGTAACTGGGGATATAGCAGGGAACGGAGCAAAACCAGCTCCATCCTAGTAAGAGGAGACAGAATGTGCCACAGATCCTTTTAGAAGGTGATCATGAGCACGCTACAGAATGTGAAAGCCAGGCAGACAGCACAGGGGGTGGATGCCAGCCTATTTGATGATCTGAGCAAGTGTCTGAGCTGAGGCCTGAGTGATGAAGAGCCAACCACATGGACGGTGTTCAGGCAGGGGAACAGGACAAAGGCTCAGAGGCAGGAGAATGCTTACCGTGTTAGAGACATGGAAAGGGCAGTGTGGCCAGATGGCCGTGAAGAAGGAAACTGGGAGGAGACACGTTCAGAGACATGGGCCAGAGCCAGAGCATATAGGATCTTGCAGGCCAAAGTTAAGAGTGTGGATTTCATTTTTCTTGCAACGTAAAGCCACTGGAGATTGTCTCAGGCAGGGAAATATGAGCCAGTCTCCTCTTTTCTCCCACTCACATATCTTATCAGCGCACCCTGCACTCCAGCCACTGCTGCAGCAACCAGCTTTGCACACACACAAAGGCCTGCCCACACCGTGCCCCTCACTCCCTGCCTGGGAGCATCTCTGAGTCTGGCCAGGGAGGCCTGCCGGAAAGCACTGTGTGCTCATGCCTCCATGACCCAGAAGAGAGAGGCCTCCGCACCCTAGGGATCACCTGTGACCAACGGGGAACAGGGATAAAGCTCTTCTCTCCCACCTCTCAGAGGGACCACTGTGAGACACATTCCTCATGCACCTTGTAAAGTCCTCAGGGTCAAGACCACTGCCCATGGCAGCTAAATGAAAGATGCAGCTCTATCTAAGCCTTGCCTCCTTCTCCAGGTCAGTCTCCAAAACAAAAGCTAAGCATGTGAGCCCTTCTCTCTGGCTCTGTTTTCCACGGGAAGCCTGGGCTAAGACAAGATGTGCTCTGGTTTGTTTTTAAAATATCACAGCCAGGCATGGTGGCTCACACCTGTAATCCCAGCACTTTGGAAGGCCGAGGCGGGCAGATCACGAGGTCAGGAGATCGAGACCGTCCTGGCTAACATGGTGAAACCCCGTCTCTACTAAAAATACAAAAAATTAGCTGGGCGTGGTGGCGGTCGCCTGTAGTCCCAGCTACTCAGGAGGCTGAGGCAGGAGAATGGTGTGAACCCAGGAGGCAGAGCTTGCAGTGAGCCGAGATAGTGCCACTGCACTCCAGGCCTGGGTGACAGAGCGAGACTCCATCTCAAAAAAAAAAAAATCACTCAGGTCACTGGGTGGAGCAGTCTTGTCATGGGATCACAGAGAGGAATTAGTGTAACAGGCAGCTTGATCACTTCACCCATGCCTACTATATTCCAAAAGAGGAGGCGGAAGCCAAGCCAGGAGAGCCCCTTCCCCAGACCAGACCCCTCCCCACCCCAACCAAGCCAGCTGGCATTAGGCAGCACCCAAGGGAGGCTGGATGAGAGCTGAATGCCTCTGATCTGTCACTTTAACTACGTTACTTTTGAAACAGGCAGGTGACAAGACACAGCAACCAGAAACCATCTTACCATCTATTGGAGAGGCCAGGCCTAGGCTCAGTGTCTCAGAAGGCAAGTAGACCCACCCTGTGGACTCCTGGGGGTCCCGGCCATCTCACTCGTCCTTGCCACTGCCTGCAGGCAGAGACCAGGAGCCGACATTATAGAGAAAAGAGGGAGGCTCTGAGGGGCGCTGGGACTCGGCCAAGGCATCCCAACGCAGAGTCCTGGACTCCAGGCTGGCTGTCTCTCTGCCTTGGGAGAGGCTGGGACCAGCAGGGACACTTGGGCTCCAAGTCCCCACTGCATCTGCCCTAGCTGTGCCCTCCTCCTACCCACTTATCCCCACCTCCCTACCGCCACTCCAGCCTCTTACCAGGGTCTACACAAACGGCCTCAGGCCTGTCTCCACACCTCCAATTCACCCAGTCCATTTTCTGCACACAGAACAATGCAGCTTCTGAAACAGTGCTAGGATCTTGTAACTCCTCTGCCGTCAACCCTTAGGTGGCAACCCCAGGATCTGCCTCTAGCTGCCTGCTGGCCATTCCTGGAGTACTCCAAGGCCTCTGCACCGAGGCCCTTGTCCTTGGTGTTCCCTGCCTGAAAAGCTCTCCCAGACGCCCATGTGACTGGCCTCCTCATTCATTCCCATCTATGCTTTTTTTTTTTTTTAGATGAAGTCTCACTCTGTCACTCAGGCTGGAGTGCAGTGGCACGATCTCTGCTCGCTGCAACCTCCGCCTCCCAGCTTAAAGCAATTCTCCTGCCTCAGCCTCCCAAGTAGCTGGGATTACAGGTGTGTGCCACCACGCCCGGCTAATTCTTTTATTTTTAGTAGAGACAGGGTTTCACCATGTTTGTCAGGCTGGTCTCGAACTCCTGACCTCAGGTGATCTGCCCGCTTTGGCCTCCCAAAGTGCTGGGATTACAGGCACGAGCCACCGCACCTGGCCAAGAGGCCTTTCTTAAAAGAGCAGTCCCATCCTGTCCCAACCCCAATTTATTTTTCTTTAGTGCACGTCACTGCCTGACATGCACACACACACACATGCACACACACTTTTTAAAGGTTTACTTTCTCTGCCTCATGAGTTCCACAAGGGCACGGGCTGCATCAGGCTAGTTTTCTGCAATCTGCATAGCACCTAGCACAGTGCCTGGCATGTAGAAGGTGCCCGACAGAAACATAATCTGGAGGAGAGTACTGAGGACCATTTTGCCCCGTGAACCTTTTACACTGTCAGCTGAGCGAGCTGTACATTGTTATGGCTAAGGTGTTTTTCACTGCCCAGGGGACATAAACAACCTTAAACTGCTGAAAACATCTGCCAAGTTGAGAGCGGAAACCGCACTTTCTCTATCCCCCACCCCCAAGCTCTCCTCCTGCACACTCACCTGACCAGCCACTAACCTGACCAGCCAACAGGGACTGTAAACTGTGAATGAGCTCCAAGCCCTCTCACCTAGCATATCACCAGCTATTTGAACTTTTCCCAGCAGGCTTGTCTTATAATTGACTTTCGGGGAAAGGTGAAGTCCAGAAGCATCTACTGGACCCAGAGGGTATGGGTAAGGCCTAATTAGGGAGGAAAAGGGCTCCCAGAGTGTGTATGCTCAGAAAAGCAGCACTCCCCCTCCTCTCCCACTCAGCAAGGGTTGGCAGGTAAGTTTCATATGGGGTGGGGATTTCAAGGCTGCAAGGGTTTCAGTCCTGGGCTTCAGGCCCTTCTTTCACCTTGGTGACAGAAGGGCTCAGTCCTGCCCATCGCTGCCTCAGTCGGGAAGCACATGTTGGGTGAGGGATAAGGCTTCTTTCCTCTTCTAATCTCTAAACATAACTCCCAGCTTATACTACGCTCTGAGTCTCCACACTCATGACAAGGCAGTGCTGTTCTCGCCGTTATCTTTTCTGGGATAAACTGCATTCATCTTAACCTTTTGGTGCACTCCTACCTACCCTTCAGGACCCCAGTTCAAAAGTCTCTCATTTTCCCTGACACCATGGGCCTGTGGTCCAACCCTGAGCAGAATTAACTCTTCTTTCCTTCATGTTCCCATAGCTCTTTACTCTTGCCCCTACAACAACACACATCACAGAATGGGTTATCCATCTAAGTCAAAATGTCCCGCACTATTGGGCTTTGGGGCCAGACAAGTGACATAAAAGGCAGTAAGGAGACAGGACTTGTGGGACCCGCTGGCTATCAGAAAAGGATATGCTATCTAAAACAAGTTCAATAGTAACAAACCAGCCAACCACCCTTCTGCCGGCCAAACAAAACAGGCTTTAGGCCAGGGTGGGAGGCTGAGGTGGGCAGATTACCTCAGGCCAGCAGTTCAAGACCAGCCTGGCCAACGTGACGAAACCTTGTCTCTACTAAAAATACAAAAATTAGCTGGGCATGGTGGTACATGTCTGTCAGCCTGGTTACTCAGGAGGCTGAAGCACGAGAACTGCTTGAACCTGGGAGATGGAGGTTGCAGTGAGCCGAGATCGTGCCACTGCACTCCAGCCTGGGCAACAGAGTGAAACTTCATCTCAAAAAACAAACAACAACAACAAAACAAAACAAAACAAAAAAAACAGGGCCAGGCGCAGTGGCTCATGCCTGTAATCCCAGCACTTTGGGAGGCCAAGGCAGGCAAATCACCTAAGGTCAAGATTCGAGACCAGCCTGGCCAACATAGTGAAACGCTGTTTCTACTAAAAATACAAAAATTAGCCGTGCATGGTGGTGGATGCCTATAATCCCATCTACTCAGGAGGCTGAGGCAGGAGAATCACTTGAACCTGGGAGGTGGAGGTTGCAGTGAGCCGAGACCATGCCATTGCACTCTAGCCTGGGCAACAAGAGTGAAACTCCATCTCAAAAAAAAAAAAAAAAGTTAACATTAAAAAACAAACAAAAAGCGGGCTTTGTAGTGGAAATTGACCTCGGGCTACCACTTGGCTCCTGGTTCCTATGTCCCTCTCTTGCCATCAGGAATGGGTTCCCTGAGGAGAAAGACCCTGTCTTATTCCTCTTGGCACCATCAATACTTGCACAGTGCCTGCACAGAGAAGGGCCTCAACACATCAGCAGTCCACTGTGGGCAGGTCCCAGTAGTCAGGCCCGTGCAGCAGGGCTGAAAGCTGCTTTCCAGGGATTCCTAGTTCACGTTCCCACTGAGTGAGTTCAGATGTGCCCCAGTGGGAAATCAATCCTGCTTACTAGGTTAAAAGCACCACTGAAGTTCGGCTCTGGGACCTGTGTCCAGCATCTGTCCCTCCCAATGGAAACAGAGGAAGGTTTTACTTGACAAGACTTTCTCCTGAGTAACGAAGCAGGCAGTGGAAAGTTCCTTGCTTCTTCATATTAGAGAGGGACCTTGGAAAAGTTAGTTCTCAGGACAAACTCTGAAAACTGGTCAGACTGACCCAAATACAAGTTCCTGAGCTATTTTTCATTGTGTCTTGGGATGTGGTAAGTCAAACCAGGAGGTGGAGTTTGTGGGCCATGCGAGCTCCTGACTGCCGCTGTCCCTCCTCCCACCATGCTGTGGTCCTCCAGGGAAAGGTTTGGCCCTGGGCTCACAAGCAGGCCACAGGCCAGGGAGTGAAGCACTGTGAAGCACCATGGTAAGACAGCAAAACCTCTAGCATATTAACCAGCTAAGGACACAGCCTGCCACCATCTGGCCAGACAGGTGGAGAGAGACCAAAGCAAGGACAAGAAAGGTAAGACCAGGCTGGACCAGCGACACAGGCTGGCGGCAGGCAGAGCAGACTGCAATGCATGCAGTCTGGTGTCGGGGGCACAAATTCTCCTCTGCAATAGGGGAGTAGAGGACCAGGACAGACTCTCATGCCCAAAATTCCTCCCACCTCTTAAAAATGAGTGCCTGAAGGCCCAGCATGAGAAATGGCTTTCTTTGTCCCTTGTTACAATGCAGCTCTCCTTGGGAGGCTTGGTGGCGATGCAGAGTGAAGAAAAATCCAGGATGTGCGTTCCTGTTCCTGTACTCCACCAGCACGTGATGAGGGATGGCCCTGTCAGCTTCTCGCAGTTCAAGTTTCCTCCCCAGTCACCCAGGAAGCACAGTAACCCACGACGTTTTGCAGGCCTGGTGAAAGCAAGGGGCCAGAGGCCATGAAAGCCAGGAAGGCAGAGTTCTGTGGGCACCTGGCACTGTCTGTCAGTGCTCCCTGTGTGTCAGGCCACTTCATCCCGTGACAACCCTAGAAGGTGGGTCTCATTACTCCTTATGTCTGAGGGGTCACAGGAATGAAGCATCAGCAGAGGTCTGTCTGACTCCGAAGCCTGGTGTCCTTTACCATGGACGCGGCTCCTCCGCAAGCACATAGAAACTGCTTCCAAGAAATCTCACTGCCACTGGCACCTCCTGCAGGAATCAAACCCGTTCCTGAACAGCTTGGATGAGAAAAAGGTGCACTGTGGGAAACGACCCTGGCCTCTGGCCAACAAGTCCTGCCTCATCTGCTTGCCAAGTGCCACCTCTTCCGGGTATTCCTCTTCCTCGCAGGAAGCTAAGGGCATCCACGACCAGCCTGCTGCCACCCAAACACCTTGCTTGCTTGCAGGCTCCTTTCAGCACCAGGGAAACATTTGGGGTAATGAGGAAACCAAGGCAGCGTGCAGGAGCTCGCGGTGGGCACCGCTCAGCTGGGGGGCCCATCAGGAAGGGTTTTCAGCAAACATTGACAGCATCCTCAGAGTCAGGGCTGCAAGTGCCAGTGTCCCTGGTAGACAGCCTCTTGGAGCCCTCACAGCCTCCACAAGAATTCCCGTAAACCCCACACCTCTTTTCCCCAAATTCCTCCGCTGCAAGGGCCCAGGCACAAGGGATTCAGATGTCCTATGGCCCACACTGAACAACCCCAACCCTCAAACCATCCCTCCAGTTCCCTGCTACTTTGGTCATCAACGATGGCCCAGACTGGCCTCACGAGTCCCTCACCCTCACCCTCCAAGCCACTCGGTCACCTCTTCAACTCTCTAGAGCAAACCCTCCTCCCCGGGCTCCCAGGCACAGCTGGCTGTTTCGCTGCCTATGGCCCCCAGGCCCACAGCCTGCCAGTGCCACCAGGCTGGCCCTCGTATTTGCCATGCTCTCATCTGCCCCCATTCTCCAGCTGCATGCAGCTTAGACAAACATCACACTCCTCCCTCCCAGGGCCACAGCTCTGCACAGAGGCAGCCATGGCGTTCAAAGCCCTGCCCATCTCACTTCCCTAGGAATCTCTCATGAATCTTCCAGGGCCTCCCTCCCCTTCACGCCTCTGTGGCCCTGAGGAGTGTGGATTAAAGCCCCCCACCAAGCTCCACAGAACTCAGCACACCTCCCTAGGACAGCCACGGCAGCCACATGGCCCTGCCTTCCAGGAACAGCCCTGACTGTCCATGTTTGGCTGGCTGTTGCCACAATGTGTGGAGGTGAAAGATGAGTACTTGTCAGGCCATGCAGTCCAACTCTTGGTTCAGAAGCCTCAGTTACCACAGCCACAGCATTAATAGCATTGCATGCTAATTACCTGTCTACATATATTTTCTCCACCAGAGGTGAGTCCCCAGAGACTGCCTCTTACTTACCTTTCTCTCTCTGGTACCTAGAACAGTGCCTGGGAGAGAGCAGGTACCTAAGGAATCAATGAACAAATAAACCATGCACAAGTTGCCATGCTATGTAATTTACATACAGGGTGTCAGATGGGTAATTCTCAGCCAACAACCATAACTAAGCTCGACAGAGTACCACCTTCCAGGTTCCAAGGGTTCTTCCCTTTTAGCCCTATTTCAACTGGTCTGGTGCTCCAAATGGAAGGCCGTGGCTCTTAAGCGATCAAGAAATAAGTCCAAAGAACAAAGAGAAATCTTTAGAAATCAACAGAAATGGAGAAAGCTGGTAAACACCACCCTAACCAGGTGATCAAACAGGCCCCATTACTAGTATGGAACGTGGCACC
This sequence comes from Homo sapiens, assembly GCF_000001405.40. Taxonomy (NCBI): domain Eukaryota; kingdom Metazoa; phylum Chordata; class Mammalia; order Primates; family Hominidae; genus Homo; species Homo sapiens. Next base: position 129,108,877 of record NC_000003.12, read on the forward strand.
GGGGGCTGCCTCCTGTGCTGCAGGATGAAGCCCACAACATCCCCTAGGACGCATTCTTGCCAGAATGGTTTAACTTTAGGCTCATCGAGTCCCCACATTTCTAGCTTACAGGAAATACAAGGAATAAAGAAACAAGTGAAAAGACAACATAAGGAAACCATGAGAAAAAACTACAAGGTGACTCCTACAAAAAAAAAAAAAAATCATGGCTTGTACTGATCTGTAAATTAATTTAAAAAATCAGTGTCATTTGGCTGGGTGCGGTGGCTCACACCTGTAATCCCAACACTTTGGGAGGCCAAGGCGGGCGGATCACGAGGTCAGGAGATCGAGACCATCCTGGCTAACATGGTGAAACCCCATCTCTACTAAAAATACAAAAAATTAGCCGGGCGTGGTGGCGGGTGCCTGTACTTCCAGCTACTCGGGAGGCTGAGGCAGGAGAATGGCGTGAACCTGGCAGGCGGAGCTTGCAGTGAGCCGAGGTTGCGCCACTACACTCCAGCCTGGGCGACAGAGCGAGACTCCGTCTCAAAAAAAAAAAAAAAATCAATGTCATTTAAAAAAAAAGGAGGTGTTGCCGGATGTAGTAGCTCATGCCTGTAATCCCAACACTTTGGGAGGCTGAGGCAGGTGGACCACCTGAAGTCAGGAGTTCAAGACCAGCCTGGCCAACAGAGTGAAACCCCGTCTCTACTAAAAATACAAAAAAAAATTAGCCAGGCATGGTGGCGGGCGCCTGTAATCCCAGCTCCTTGGGAGGCTGAGGCAAGGAAAAGTGCTTGAACCTGGGAGGTGGAGGTTGCAGTGAGCCGAGATCGCACCACTGCACTCCAGCCCAGGCGACAGTGAGAGACTCCATCTAAAATAATAATAATAATAATAATAATATTAAAAGTTAGAATTAAGTCTAAGTAACTTGGTACATAATGTAAAAAAAATTTTGGAATGGGCAATGAGGAGAAAGTAAAAGTGTGCTTGGTTTTGTCTTTTCCTTTTTTTTTGTGAGACAGGCTCTCACTCTGTCACTTAGGCTGGAGTGCAGTGGTGCGATCCTGGCTCACTGCAGCCTCGACCTCCTGGGCTCAAGTGATCCTCCCACCTCAGTCTCCTGAGTAGCTGGGACTACAGACAAGCAACACCATACCTGGCTAATTTTTTTATTTTTTGCAGAGACAGGTTCTCCCCATGTTGCCCAGGCTAATCTCAAATTCCTGGGCTGTAGCAATCCGCCCGCTTCTGCCTCCCAAAGTGTTGGGATTATGGTGGTTCTTGTCTTCTTTAGGTGAAAAAAACAGATCCTGGTAGATAAATTTAAACATGAATTTAAAACTTAATAAAATCAATAGAAACAGCACTATATTTCCAACTTACTAGAAGGCAACGTGGAAGAGAACTGATCAATTCAACAAAAGCAAGCCAAGAGGTAGCTGGATAAATGGGGAAAGAGTATGCTTCCTTCTTGCCTGCCTTCATTCATTCAATAACCAAAAGGTAAAGTACACTGTGCCAAGTGCTTTGATACCTAAGACAAAGTCCATGCCCAGCAGCGCTGAGTGCCTGAGGGTGGAAGGAAGCAAACAGTAACAAACAAGTGAAGTATGACTTGGGGCAATGCAAAGTACTAGGACAAAAAAACAAAACAAGGCAAGTAAGGGCATAATGTTGAAAACATTCTGTGGCTGGGCGCGGTGGCTCACGCCTGTAATCCCAGCACTTTGGGAGGCTGAGGCGGGCGGATCACGAGGTCAGAAGATCAAGACGATCCTGACTAACATGGTGAAACCCCGTCTCTATTAAAAATGCCAGGGGTTGGTGGGGATTGAGAAGTGAGAGTGGCTGCTTATGGTGATGAGGTTTCTTTTGCGGTGATGAAAATATCCTAAAATCAACTGTGGTGATGACTGCACAACTCTTTGAGTATATTAAAAAACAAAAAACAAAAAACAAAAAAAACACTGAATCACGCACTTTAAGTGGGGGAATTTTTATCATATGTGGATTATATCTCCATAAAGATTTTTTTTTTTTTTAAGGAACTTGGGAGAGTGCTACTTTAGACAGGATAGTAAGGTAAGATAATTCAGGGAAAGCAAAATATCAATCTGTTGATGTATGCACTTGTACCACAAATGCACAGCAAACTGGCCCCAAGCCTATCTGGTCACACCTCACCTTCCACCCATCACCATGCGCCTTCCCAAGGGTAGGGGACTCCTCGAATTCCTAGGTGGTCTCCTTTTTTCACTTCACATGCATTTCTCCCTCCGTGTGTTCTGTTAAAATGTGGAGGGTGCCCTCCAGCCCTTTCCTGAACTCTTCTAGTAGAGCTTCTAGTAGAGCTTCAAGAGTCCATGGCTGGGCGCAGTGGCTCATGCCTGTAATCCCAACACTTTGGGAGGCCGAGGTGGGCAGATCGCTTAAGGTCAGGAGTTTGAGACCAGCCTGGCCAACATGGTGAAACCTCATCTCTACTAAAAATATAAAAATTAGCCGGGCGTAGTGGTGTGCACCTGTGGTCCCAGCTACTCAGGAGGCTGAGGCAGAAGAATCACTTGAACCTGGGAGGCCGAAGTTGCAATGAGCTGAGATGGCACCACTGCACTCCGCCTGGGTGATAGAGACTCTGTCTCAAAAAAAAAAAAAAAAAAAAAAGAGACCTGTGCTGCCAGCCATGGGATCCAGCAGCACCCTCCCATCAGATGTTGATCCTGCTCCTCACTCTCCCACTCATGCAGCCAACACATGTTGAGGGCTTATTCTGGGAAAGAAACCCAAAGAAAACTGTAGCGTCAGAGTTTACACTGAAGTATTGGCCTTGAGATTTCAATAATAAAACTGATTTTTTTCTAAGAGATTTTTCTACATATTTCATAGAATTTTCATGTATTTCATAAAATTGATTCTGTTCTATATAAACATGAGAGTCCTATTCTTATTGGGAATATTGAAAAAAATATATAAACATGACAGATATTAACAATTCCTAACTAGCAAACTGAAGTTTACTCTGACACTAAGATCCATTTTTTTGGTCACGAAATCACCCACTATTTATGGACCTACACACAGTTAAAAGCCAAGAGTAAAGCCAGGCACGGCAGCTCACACCTGTAATCCTAGCACTCCTGGGAGGCTGAGGCAGGTGGATTTCTTGAGTCCAGGAGTTCAAGATCAGCCTGGGCAACAATGTGAAACCCCATCTATCTCTACTAAAAATACAAAAAATTAGCCGGGCGTGGTGGCGCATGCCCTGTAGTTCCAGCTACTCAGGAGGCTGAGGTGGGAGAATCACCTGAGCCCAAGGGGCAGAGGTTGCAGTAAGCTGAGATCATGCCACTGCACTCCATTCTGGGCAACCAGAGTGAGACCTTGAGACCCTGTTTAAAAAAAAAAAAAAAGTCAAGAATAAAAAACCCCCAAAATCAAAGTTTTTAATTGGAAATGGTAAACAGAATTTTTTAATTTTAAAAATATCCAATTTTTATACTCCATGGCCATAAAAATGGTGGGCATGGAGGTTATCTGGCTTGAAATGACAAGGGCCTTTTTTCAAAGAATAACAGAGCCTAGAGAGGCTTCTGAGATCACCCAGTCTCACTTCATCACGCAACAGTGAGGAAACTGATGCAAGGAGGGGAAATGACTCCCAGCCCTCATGCTGTTAGCTGAAGGCCAGGCTTTTAGGTCTCTCAAATCAAAATGCACCTTGCCCCCTTTAAGAGACGTCACCTCAGAAGGCAGTACACTTACTCCAACAGCTGCCAGTGCCCAGCACATACAGGAATTGCCTAACATGAACCAGAATTATTTTATAGCCAGACCTCATTTTGGACAGAAGAACTGCTAACATTATGGTAGGCAGGCTGGTTTTTGTTGCTTTTTTTTTTTTGAGACAGGGTCTCACTCTGTCACCCAGGCTGGAGTGCAGTGGTATGGTCATAGTTACCTGCAGACTTGATCTCTGGGACTTAAGCAATCCTCCCGCCTCAGCCTCCTCAGTAGCTGGGACTACAGACATGCATCACCACACCTGGCTAATTATTAATTTTTTTGTAGAGATGAGGTCTTCCTATGTTGTCCAGGCTTCTTTTGACTGTTTTTATTTATCAAACCCACCCCTGGAATACCCACCAAAGCAGGTGCAGGTTCTAGAGAAGTTTCTGAACACAGCATCACAGCGGATGAAACCTTCGGGAAATGCATATACAATTACTCAAAGAGATGACTCTGAAAGGGATAGCACTCATATACACGTTTGAGTTTTAGGTTATTTTTATTATTATTATTATTATTTTTTTTTTTTCGAGATGGAGTCTTGCTCTGTCGCCCAGGCTGGAGTGCAGTGGCACGATCTTGGCTCACTGCAACCTCCGCCTCCCAGGTTCAAGTGGTTCTCCTGCCTCAGCCTCCCGAGTAGCTAGGATTACAGGCATGCGCCACCATGCCCATCTAATTTTTGTATTCTTAGTAGAGATGGGGTTTCACCATGTTGGCCAGGCTGGTCTTGAACTCTTGACCACATGATCGGCCCGCCTCGGCCTCCCAAAGTGCTGGGATTACAGGCATGAGCCACTACACTCGGCCCTAGGCTATTTTTGAACACCAGTCACATTACTCTCTAGCCACACTCTGTTTTTGGGATTTCAGAGTGGTCATTCACGAGCACAGGTGAAAACCTCTAACAAGTAGTGCTCACACACCGCTTCTGGGATTAAGTTTGCCTTCTTCCAATCCAGAAAAGGGAGATTTGCGAGGCAAACTGGTGCAAGTAGAGGAGAGCTGATTTTAATGGTATCTGGATAGGAGCTATTAATGGCAAACGGTCCTTATTCATGAACCCAAAGCAGGTTAGAAAAATCTGATATGTGGCCAGGCGCAGTGGCTCACGCCTGTAATCCCAGCACTTTGGGAGGCTGAGGCAGGCAGATCACGAGGTCAAGGGATCGAGACCATCCTGGCTAACATGGTGACACCCCGTCTCTACTAAAAATACAAAAATTAGCTAGGCGTGGTGGTGTGTGCCTGTAGTCCCAGCTACTTGGGAGGCTGAGGCAGGAGAACTGCTTGAACCAGGGAGGTGGAGGTTGCAGTGAGCCGGGATCACGCCTCGCGCCACTGCACTCCACCTGGTGACAGAGCGAGACTCCGTCTCGAAAGAAAAAAAAAAGAAAGATCTGGTATGTAACAGCATTTGGTTAGCTTCTGCTGCCACATCAACAATAAAACAGCATTTCACAGGCCAGTCTAGAAAGTGGGATTTTTCTGTCATTCACACTGGCCATTCCGAACACTACCCCCAGTTCATCTGAATTAATAAACATTTATTTAATAAGTACTGGGCATTAAAATGTTGACATGACACTGCTAATCAATGTGTAAAATGCAAGCAATACAAGATGGCCTAGATTTTAAATCAGTCCCAACTTTTTTCATTTGTGGGTTTGTGTGTGTTTGCGGTAGTAGGAGAGGGCACAAGACAGCAATGAGGAGAAAAGTACCAGACTAGGAGCTGAAAAGCTTGGCTCTGGTTCAGACTTTGCCACAAATGGGCCTTCATTTCCTCTTCTGTAAGATGGGGATAGTCTCCCACAGGGTGGCTATGAGGATCAAATGCAACAACTCATGAGAAAAGCGATGGAAACTTATAAAACGCATGCACATTTGAGGGAGAGTTGCTCCTCTTATTACTGAACTCTGAGAATTCCTCATACCCAAAGCACCCAGGAAAACCGCCTAGCATGAGGTCTCAGCAAAGGCCAATCACAGCCCGAGCACTACACAAAGGCCAGTGCAAGGTAAAGAAACCTACAAGGGCTAAACAACGAACAAGAGGAAAGCAAGGAAAGCAGACATGTGGATATCCTGAGTCACAGCATGGAGACAAAAGGTGGTAAAGGCCTTGTGTGCCTCTACTTCCCACAATCCCTGATCAGTTTGGGGTCACTGTATAGCTCTATTTCTAGTACGAGCATAGCCACAGGGGCCAGTCTCTTGCCTTTATTGTCTTCACTTTACTGATAGGACAACAGGTCAATGAAGTGACTTGTTTACGGTCAGCTGGGCAACTAGGCTGAGAAACCAAGCTTCCTGACCCCCACCCCCCGCAATCCACTCTCTCTCATCAGGTGGTTACACACCAACATCAGTTCCCATCTGTGGATGATCCACTATGGGCCAGGTCCTTAAGGGTAGGGGTTTTGCAGGTAAGACAGATTTGAAGAGGTAAAGTCACATGCCTATGGTACAGTATCCCCCACTTATCCATGGTTTCACTTTCCAAGGTTTCAGCTACCTGCCATCAACTTTGCTCTAAATGTATTAAGTAGGGCCAGGCGTGGTGGCTCATGCCTGTAATTCCAGCACTTTGGGAGGCCGAGGTGGGTAGATCACCTGAGGTCGGGAGTTCGAAACCAGCCTGGCCAACATGGTGAAACGTTGTCTCTACTAAAAAAAAAACAAAAAACAAAAAACAAAATCAGCCAGGCACAGCGGTGCATGCCTGTAATCCCAGCTACTAAGGAGGCTGAGGCAGGAGAATCACTTGAGCCCAGGAGGCGGAGGTTGCAGTGAGCAGAGGTCATGCCATTGCACTCCAGCCTGGGCAACAAGAGCGAAACCCCGTCTCAAAAAATAAAATAAAAAATAAAAATATTAAGTAGGCCAGGCGCGGTGGCTCACACCTGTAATCACAGCACTTTGGGAGACCCAGGTGGGTGGATCACTTGAGGTCAGGAGTTTGAGACCAGCCTGGCCAACATGGTGAAACCCCATCTCTACCAAAAAATACAAAAATTAGCTGGGTGTGGTAGTGGGCACCTGTAATCCCAGCTACTTGGGAGGCTGAGGCAGGAGAATCGCTTGAACCTGGGAGGTGGAGGTTCCAGTGAGCCGAGATCACACCACTCCACTCCCTCCTGGACGACAGAGTGAGATTCTGTCTCAAAAAAACAAATAAAAATATTAAATGGTAGATTCTAGAAATAATGCATAAGTCGATTGCACATCATTCTGAGTAGCATGATGAAATCTCACGCCATCCTGCTCCGTCCCACCTGGGATGTGAATCATACCTTTGTCCAGCATGTACTGTATCACAGTGCTTGTGTTCAAAGAATCCTTATTTTACTTAATAATGGCCCCAAAGCGCAGGAATAGCGATGCTGGCATATTGTTATAACTGTTCTATTTTGTTATTAATTATTGTTGTTAATTTCGTACTGTGCCTAATTCATAAATTAAACTTTATCATGGGCATGTATGTATAAGACAAAACATAGTCTATATAGCGTTCAGTACCATCTGAAGTTTCAGGCATCCACTGGGGGTCTTAGAACATATCCATTGAGGATAAGATTTAACCTGGTGCTGTGCAGTTCTAAAGCTGGCCCTCTTTCCACTATCTCTCCACCAGACATGCTGTCTCAGGATTCTAAGAAACCTCGAGAGGCAAGGTTTATTTTGCAATTAGGATGGCTGTCCCTGGTATCAAGAACAGATTTCTTCAGAAAATCAGCACGACCTAGAACTTCTTTCTTATCTAACAGTCCTTTTGCTATTTCTAATGAAAACTGAAAAAGTCAAACAAACTTTATCCAAATAGGAAAAGAACAGATGAGCAGAACTAGACTCTTGATTGGAAGGACTGTGAATGCAAACTTTAACCAGAAACCATTTCCTCTTATCCCGCCCTGCCCCCTCTTTTTGAAGTGCCAGGAGCAGCTACAAAAACAAATTTGACTCCTAGGGCAAGGGGAAGCTTGAGAGTCAAGGCCAAAGGTCCTGAAATCTGGAGGTCCAGGCCCAAGGGCACAGACTTTACCTCTATGAAGGAGAGATCTGGCAGCATCCCTAGCGAGCAGACAGTGAGCCTGAGAGAGAGCTGAATAGAGGGGTACAGTTCCATAAGGCTGACCTCTGCGCTGGACTTGAGGCCGGTGTGCCTAGTGATCTGCAAAAACGAGTTTACATAACAGGCCTTTGTGTTGTCCCAGATAAGAGTGAGTAGAGGAGCTTCAGAATGTTTTAAGGATTTAGAGCCAGCTGAGATTTCCTGAGGACACTGAGGTGGGGAGGAGGGAGGGGTGGGGGAGGGGCAAATTCAGACCTAATCTGTCTCATCTAGGGAGGAAAACAGTAACTGCAGCAATAAAAAAATATATATTTATAAATCCTTGTTTTTAAATAAGAAATGAGTAACACTGATGGCTTCTTCTTAGAGGACACTGGGTGGCTTACGGGACAAACACGGAAGGGAGACTTTTCACTATATATACCCTTTGAAGTTTTTAAAATTTTGAAATTTGAACCATGTGAATGGTTTATCTATTCAAAAGTAAGTCATGGAAACTTTATTTTAAGCATGTTCAAAGTTTTCTGACAACCCTAAGAAAGAGGCAGAGCAAAGACCATTAGTCCCATTTCACAGATGAGGAAGCCTGAGGCTCCAAGGAGAAAAAAAATGAATTGCCCAAGTCTGTGGCAGGGTTGAAGCAAGACTCAGAACTTCAGACTCCTAGTCCAGTGCTCTCTGTCAGAGACTCCACAGTATGCAAGATAAGCAGCACTCAGATTCACTTTATAAGTCCAGTTCTCATAGCTACAGTCAAATGCATCCACAAGAACACTGGAAATGATCACCATATACAAAGCCTTACTGACTCGTACAGCAGTGTCTCTGAGCCGTTTGGGTATATCTACACGTTTTGGTTAATAATAAACCAAACACCCTAAAACTCTTTAACTGTCAACCCCAATCTTTCTAAAATGCCCCATTCCACATTCTTCTCTCAGTGAATGCAATGGCCACAACTGCATTTTTATTAGATCCATTCACTTTCAGAATCTCACGGTCATCTTTATGAACTCAGAGCAAATCAGAAGGGTGGTCAAGTAAAAATGAAGACTGGGCTTAGGAGCCAGCCAAACCCTTGGTTTTGCCACAGAGTTGTAAGTGACCTTGGCCTCAGCTTTCTCTCTATAAAGGAACCAATTAACAGGCACATATTGGACACCATGTGTTTGACACTGGCCCACTGGATCCCTGTGTCTTCAAGGAGCTTACCTTCTATAGGGGCAGACAGAAAAAAACAGTTAATTTGAAGCTGTGGTAAGTGTTATGACCAGATACAATAGAGTTACAGAATAGAGGACCTGGGAGATCAGGCAAGGCCTCTCTGAAGATGTGGCATTTGCGTTGGGACCTGAATGATGAAGTAGCAGTTACGTGGGGATCTAGAGGCAGAGTATGATGGGCACGGGAAGAGATGCAAAGGTCCTGAGGCAGGGGTAAGCCCACCATGTTGAAGGGCTAGTGAAGCTGGAGAGCAGGCAGTGAAGGGTAGAGATGGGCCTCTGTCTGCCTCTCCAACTTTGTCTCCTTCCAGAGGTCCATCTCTTTGGGGAAGGTGTTTGGAGGTTATTCTGGTTGTAATGGGAAGTGGCTACAGAAATAAAGTAATTTGATTAAATCTGTGATTCTCAAATGTTTCGGTTTTTTTAGCAGGAGAATTCTTTAGTCAAATAACAAGAATTTCAACCTACAACTAGATAAAGGTATTGCTCTGACTGGTTGGGAAGCTAGTTAAAGCCCTTCTGACCCTCTCTCTGACCTCTTGGCTTTTCTCCTTACCTTTCAGTACCTCCAAGCTCACAGGAGCTAGAAAACCACCAGGTGATCCATCTCTAAGCTTCCTGAAGCTCTAATAAAACCCAGCATCATTGTAAAGAATCACAGGGAAAGCTTTAGGATATAAGACTGGATGCTTGCTGGACAAGCATCTCGGGCTTCCCAAGACAGGCCCTGAGAAGGTTTATTTTATTTTATTCTAAATAGATACCACGTCTCACTATGCTGGCCAGGCTCATCTCGAACTCTTGACATCCAGCAATCTTCCTGCCTCGGCCTCCCAAAGTGCTGGGATTGCAGGCATGAGCCACTGCACCCGGCCCCTGGAAAGGTTTTACACTGAATCCCTGATGTGCACTTGCTTTCCACAGAAAAAACAACAATAAGCTCTGGTTCATCAAGGCTTTCAGTTAAAATCACACTGCTGAAACTACAGAGACAAAAAACAGATCGGGGGTTGCCACAGGATGAGGTGAAAGGAACTGACTACAGAAGAACAAAAGAACTTTCTGGGTTGGTGGAAAAATTCTCCATCTTGATAGTGATGTGGCTGCTTGTCTGTGTAAGTTTGAGAAGTTCATAGACCTGTAACACCTCAAGTGGTGAAGGTTTACCGTGTGTAAATTAGACCTCAAAAAACTTGACTTAAAATCACATTGCCAAAAGACTACTCAGAGGCACTTTACAGATGGAGGAGGGAAAATGGCTTGCTCCTGCTGCGGCAGCGGACCCCAGGAAGCCTGACTCGAAGGACAGTGTTCCCTCAAGTTCACGGCTGCCCAGCTTTAATTTGGAGCCTCTGCAGTGAGTTAGACTTCAGGTTTTCCTGCCGGCAAAATGAGGTGGTAAACAATTGCCAGAGGCTTCCCCACCACAGACAACGGGATTCTGAAAAGCTGTCCACTATGGGGGAGAAATCTGCTTTGGAGTCAGAAAAACTGGGAAAAATATTCCCACCTCTATCACTTCTTAGCTGTGTGCCCAGGCTCCATCCTGTGTGAGCGGGGGTAAGAATTCCCTCCAGTCAGCAGAGAATGCACCTGTAACCCAGCTGATTCCCAACAGCCTCTCAAGAAGGTCAGCGGCTATAACTTGGAGAGGTGTTTACCACAGCTACACAGCTCTTCTGCTCCCTGGGCCCCGGGCTGCTTCCTAGGAAGGACAATCTGGAGGCAACCATAAGGAAAGAAAATAACGAACTGCCTGGCCCTGCATTGCATAACCCGTGCGCAGTAAACCAGGAGCTCTGCTGGGACACAGTCTGTTATCTCAACAGGTAAACAGGAACCCTGCCCCCTCCCTGACCACCGTCAGCACTGGGCCACCACAGACACTCCAGACACAGACCGATAGCACATGAGGAGGACACCACTGCTCTTTAGCCTGTATTTTCACACTCCCATTTCCCTGCAGCTGCTGGCATCATCACTGGGCACACTCAATAACGGACACTCCACCCACTCCAGCCCTTCCCTGGCTACCTGCTCCAAAAGGGTGGTCCCGAGTGACTCAAAGCTGCCTTCTGCACCTTGCTCTTTTCCATCCACGGAGACCAAAACACAGACCCCAGAAGACGATTAAAATATAATAATAATAAAACCCCTCAGGCAGGAGTTTCTGCTTCCCCGTCACATCTACTGAGAGGCACTGTGGACACATAAAGACTGTTGACTTACTTTTTTCTCCACCTTGGGGCAGGAGGGAGGCAACACCCAGAAATTATCCCAATTTTATAGAAACAAAGACAAAGAGCTACATATCCTAGCCAAAGGCAACAAGGAGCAGGCCTAGAGCCACCCGGAGAGGCAGAGCCCAGCAGCAGCAAGGCTCCAGTGACTCCCATCTCCCTGGCAGAGATCGTCCCAGCCCTGTGCCCTGAGGGTGTCCTGAAGATCATGGGGGCTCGAAACCATGAAAGCAAGCAAAGATTTCTGTACAGTGCGGTTCAGAAAAGTTACTGAGTGCCTTCAGCCCAGGATCTCCTGGTTGATTAGGGAGTACTAACACCTAGGTTAAGAAACTCTGATTTCATTCATCACAAATATTTATCAAACCACTGCCAGGACATTGTGGCAACCACATCCTGCTGTTTTTATTCGGAGCCATTGCCAAAGCTTGGTTCTCTCCCCCACCTTCCGGTATCTGTGAAGTTTTCAGTTTCTATCAAACTCCAGCTGGGGGAGGGAACCGGGGCTGGCCCTAGTCGAGTAAAGTTCCACCACCAGGTCCACAAAGAGACTGCAGGGAGGCGTGGCCAGGCCGGAAATTCTGACAAAAAGTTTTGGCCCTCTGGTCCTAAAAGCAACTACTTCCTGATCGCTCCTAGTCCTGGGGTGGGGATGCAGTTCTCTGGCTGAGTGCCCCGCCGGTGGGCTGAGCTGGGGGCTGCCATCGCGGTGGATGGAGGTGGGGGGTCTGATCTCCGCACTCCAAGGCGCTCCGCTAGTACCTGGAACAGGGGAGTCTAACCCCCTGCCTTCCAATGGCTAAAGTTATTTTGGAGCACAGTCCCCTCCTAGGGTGTGAGCTCCGGAGGGCAGGGCCGCCTCCTCCACACTCCCTCGCCCCCCCCCCCCCCAGCAACCCACGGCCGGCGCTTTGAGGACTTGAACCCGGCCCAGACCCCGGGGCCCAGGCCTGCTCCGACCCGAGGAAGGAAAAAGGGGAAGCCAAAGGAAACTTCAGATGGACGCGGGGTGCGCTCGCCGCGGCCAGGGGCTCCGCTGCCCCCGCCCCACCCTCCGAGGGAGCGCCTTCCAGGGGCCCTGGCCGGCCTCCCACCTTGACCCGCTTGCCCTGGATCTCCAGCGTCTTCATGGTGAAGTCGACGCCGATGGTGCTTCCCTGGCGCTCCGAGAAGGCGCCGGTCTTGAAGCGCTGCACCACGCACGTCTTGCCCACGCTTGCGTCGCCCACCAGCACCAGCTTGAACAGGAAATCGTACTGCTCGTCCGGGTCCCCCGGGCCTGGGCCCGGCCCTGCCATGGCCTAGAAGAAGCCGAAGGGCCGGCGCTCTGGACGCTGGGACCGGCCTGAGCTCACGCAAGCCGCGGGCCGAGCTCCGCCCGCTCCAGCCCACGGGCCGCCTGGCTACGTGGAGCCGCCGCAACACCTGAACCCCCAGCACTGCCGACCGCCTGCCTCGGCCTCGGCCCCGCCCCACCCCGGCTGGCTCCCGCCCCGGCCCGGCTCGGCCCCGCCCGGACCCGGTGCCCCGCGGGTTCGGCTCCCCCCCGGACCCGCCAAGCCGGGCCCTCCGCAAAGCTCCGGCCGGTCCTCAGCTCCGTGCCACACCAGTCTGGCCTGTAGGCCCGCCCCAGCCCGCCCCCGCCCGCCCCCGGCTCCGCCCTCAGGCTGGCACCCACTCCGCCCCCAGCCCAACCCTCGGGCCCACCTCAGCCCGACCCGGGTTCCGCCTACGTCCCCGCCCCCGACTCCGCCCTCAGCTCCGACCTCGACTCCGCCCCCAGGCCCACCTCAGCGCGCCCCGACTCCGACCCGACTCTGCCCTCAGCCCGACCTCGACTCCGCCCACAGGACCACCTCAGCCCGCCCCGACTCCGCCCTCAGCCCGAACTCGACTCCGTCCCCAGCTCCGACCTCGACTCTGCCTTCAGGCCCACCTCAGCCCTCCCCGACTCCGCCTTCAGCCCGACCTCGACTCCGCCCTCAGGCCCACCTCAGCACACCGCCCCGACTCCGCCCACAGGCCCACCTCAGCCCGCCCCGACTCCGCCCTCAGGCTCACCTCAGCTCTGACTCCGCCCCACCCGACTCCGCCCTCAGCCCCGACCCCAGCCCGACCCCGCCCTCAGCACCTCGGCCCCTCCTCCATCAACACCCCGGCGCGCCCACACCGCGGATCCGTCTGGCCCCCAAACCGCTGCCCACCCCGACCCTTCATCAGCTGGGACCCCCAGGTGCTGTCCCGCGCCTCCTGCTCGCCCCCCACCCAGGCCTGGTCCGCCTGCCCGGGATCCCCTACCTGCTGCCTCCCAGACCGCCGGTCAGGGACAGGCGGAGACCATGGCTGGAGCTCCGGGCCTGCAGGCCTAGACTAAGAATGACCCCCTCCGGAATGGATCACGGAGGAAGGGGACGACCACAGCAGTGTCACCTGAGTGCCCACTCTGACAGGCGGGCAGTGCAGTCTCCGAGAGTGGTGGGGGTCGCTCTTCCCAGGGGCGGAAGGGAAGGGAGGGAGCAGGCTGCAGAAGGCCAGAATCCAGGCTGGCTACAAAACTGCGGAGGAGCCCAAAATCCTTGTGAGGAGAGGACCCAGGGCCCCATTTGATGGGAAGCTAGGCCAGAAGGAGGAGCTGGGAGCTCTTGTCTCCAAAAGGCAGCCTAGCAGTGGTTGAAGCAGCTGCTAAACGGCTGGATGACCCAGCTCAGAGCAGCTACAGGCCCATTTGGGAAACTGACCCAGCCAAAAAGCACCAGTCTAGGAAGAGGAACAGAAAAACTTGAAGGGATTTCTGAGGAAGGGCAGACCAACTCCTGAGTTGGCCCAGTGAACCAGGGCGCCTCAGAGAAAGGAGACCCAAACATCTGTAAGAAGCTTATACTAGATCCAACAGGACTGGGCTTCCCAGCTCCGAAGATGGGAAGGAATTGACAGCACCCCTTACCCCTCTAGACAGCTTCCTTGTGGCACTCCAATTCCAGGTATTCAACATATTTAATGAATGGCTACTACAGGCGGGCATTGTCCTGGGGCCTTGTAATGCACCTGTGGACAAAGCAGACAAAAATCCAGGAGAAAAGGGGAAAGTCTTCAAGCTGAAGGAGACTTCGCAGAGAGCAAGTCCCCCAGTGCCACTGTGAGGACCCCAGCCAACCTTTCAGGTCAAGATAGAAAGGGACTGAATGAGCAGTCTGCAAAGGCAGACCCCGTGGAGAAGGCAGAAGAGTTGTTTCTTCTGAAAGTTTGAACTCCACTCCCATGGGAAATACCCAACAGAATCAGACAGGAAACCCCAAAGTGCCACTGAAAAGCAATTGAGAGCCCCACTTTGGTACACCTGATGGGAGCGGAGAGTTAGAGAGGCAGGAAATAACCTCCACTCCAGGGTAGAAGTAGACAGGAGATGGGATGGAAGGTTTCTGCATGCTGGGACTAGCTCAGGTCAAAGTCCAGAACTCCAGAAAACAAGGCCTGCCCCCAGCTCAGAGCAGCTACCACAGCACAAAATGGTGTGGAATCCAGGAGCCAGGATGAAGCGTAGGGGTAGACGGTGGTTGGATAGCTAACTGGCCTTTCCACTGCTCTAGCCTGGAACTGGTTGGGCTGGGGCAGGGGACATGTTGGTCTGAGTATAGATTTTGTCAGAAAACCCAGGCACCACTCCCTTGCCTTTGCGGGGTGATTCTAAAATTGGACTGTGGTAAGGGTTGCACAACTCCTCAAGTTTATTAAAATCATTAAAATGTAAACTTACAACCTGTGGGTTTTATGGTATGTAAATTATACCTCAATAAAGCTGTCTAATATCTGCATTTCCTCTTTTGGTGGTAAATTCCTGAGTAGCACAGTGGCATTTTATTTGAAATGGAATCATGCTAATTTGAAATGCAGCAATTAAAAAATATTTATGTTTCATTTAATACACCAAATTTGAAAAAATGTATATTGCACTTTTTTTTTTTTTGAGACGGAGTCTCGCTCTGTCACCCAGGCTGGAGTACAGTGGCGCGATCTCGGCTCACTGCAAGCTCCGCCTCCCGGATTCACGCCATTCTCCCGCCTCAGCCTCCCGAGTAGCTGGGACTACAGGCGCCCGCCACCATGCCCAGCTAATTTTTTGTATTTTTAGTAGAGACGGGGTTTCACCGTGTTAGCCAGGATGGTCTCGATCTCCTGACCTCATGATCCACCCACCTCGGCCTCCCAAAGTGCTGAGATTACAGTCGTGAACCACCGCACCCGGCCTATATTGCAAAATTTTTAAAATAGGTCAAGAATTTAGTTGCCGGGCACGGTGGCTCACGCCTGTAATCCCAGCACTTTGGGAGGCTAAGATGGGCGGATCACGAGGTCAGGAGATCGTGACCACCCTGGCTAACATGGTGAAACTCCGTCTCTACTAAAAATACAAAAAATTAGCCGGGTGTGTTGGCCGGCGCCTGTAGTCCCAGCTACTCAGAGGCTGAGGCAGGAGAATGGCGTGAACCCAGGAGGTGGAGCTTGCAGTGAGCCAACATGATGCCACTGCACTCCAGCCTGGGCGACAGAGCGAGACTCTGTCTCAAAAAAAAAAAAAAAAAAGAAAGAAAGAAAAAAAAATTGGTCAAGAATTTAACTTTTTTTTTGAGACAGAGTTTCACTCTTGTTGCCCAGGATGGAGTGCAATGGCCTGATCTTGGCTCACTGCAACCTCAAGCAATTCTCCTGCCTCAGCCTCCCCAGTAACTGGGATTACAGGCGTGTGCCACCACACCCAACTAATTTTCGTATTTTTAGTAGAGACAGTGTTTTGCTGTGTTGGCCAGGCTGGTCTTGAACTCCTGACCTCAGGTGACCCGCCCACCTCGGCCTCCCAAAGTGCTGGGATTACAGGCATGAGCCACCATGCCCGGCCAAGAAACATATTTATTTTATTTTATTTTTGAGACACAGTCTCACTCTGTTGCCCAGGCTGGAGTGCAGTGGCGCGATCTCTGCACACTGCAACCTCCGCCTCCCGGGTTCACACCATTCTCCTGCCTCAGCCTCCTGAGTAGCTGGGACTACAGGCTCCAGCCACCATGCCTGGCTAATTTTTTATATTTTTAGTAGAGACGGGGTTTCACTGTGTTAGCCAGGATGGTCTCAATCTCCTGACTTTGTGATCCACCCACCTCAGCCTCCCAAACTGCTGGGATTACAGGCATGAGCCACCGCGCCCGGCCAAGAATTTAACATTCTTAAAGCTAGTGGTGGGTGAGCTGAATGCATTTTAACTGTTTGTGTCATTGCCATGCAGTGGCACCATCTCAGATGATAAAGAGGGTATCCCATACTGGCAATGTTCCCTGGATCAGACCTCCTCCAAGTGGCTAAAGGGACATTCGTACCTGGTTTTCTCCTTCCTTCTTTCTCCTTTCATCTTTTTCTTTCTACACTTGCCATTATTAAAATATAAACCTACAACACTATCAGACAAGTTTTCTTCTTTTTTTGGGGGGGTAGGGGTGTGGGGGAGACAGCGTCTTCCTCTGTTGCCCAGGCTGGAGTGCAGCGGTACAATCACGGCTCACTGCCACCTCAAATCTCCAGGGCTCAAGCCATACTCCCAACTCAGCCTCTTGTACTCGGCCACAGGCCTGGGACCACAGACGTGCGTTACTACATCCAGCTAATTTTTTTATTTTTTGTAGAGGTCTTATTATGTTGCCCAGGCTGGTCTTGAACTCCTGGGCTCAAGCAAATGATACTCCTGCCATGGCCTCCCAAAGTGCTGGGATTACAGGTGTGCGTCACCACGCTCGGCCCCAAATTTTCTTTATGTGGTGATGCCAAGGCTAGTGCTGAAAATGTGCCCCCAAGTGAAAAAACACCATGAAGGCCAGATGCCAACCACAATACCCTGTGTCTTTCATACAGAGGGGTGCTTGCTACAAAATATTACAAAATTAAAAGTAGGATTGTGAGATTCCGTGTTGTAATGGTGAGCACTCTGGACTCTGAAAATTAAAAGTAGGAATAAAGCACAATCGGCTACAGCAGTCATAAACTTCAGTGCTCTGGCTGGTGCTGACTGCTGGCTGGAAAGGCTCCTCCATAAACAGCCCTCTGCACTCACCTGGTGACCAGAGAAAACGCAGGCACCCACTCTCTCCTCCCAGAATCCCAAAATATCATAAACACGGGCAAATGAGCACCTCCACTCTCGCTGCTTCTGTTGATGGCACTGGTCTCACACTTGAGGATCTGACTCAAAATATAGGGGTCAGCACCCGAACTCACACCTCTACTGCTAGCCCCCGACCAGACCCAGCCATCCCCTAGAGGATCAGATTGGCTTCCTCCCTGGTCTGTTTCTAGTGCCCCCAGCACAACCCCTACCCTCACCCCATCTGCTGCTAGAAGGGACCTTACAAAGGCATCCCCTGCTCAAGCAAGTTCAGTGCGAAGTCCCAGACCCTCAGGAACACGCACACATTTAAGGTTCCTCTTCTCCCAACATCATCTCCCCTCAGCCCCTCATCTGACTTTCCAGCCCCTCAAACACACCAGTTTTTTACAGACTTCTACCCTGGCCCAGCTAGAGAACTGTAAACAACTCTGCCCTCTCCACGGCTCATTTTGTGGGAAAGAGAACCCAGGCTCAGGAACTGCATGACCTGCTAAAAGCCCCACGAGTTGCGGCAGAGAAGCAGGATTCAGAGTGCCAGGCCAGCCCTCCACGGACACTGCCTTCTGCATCCTTTCTGGTGGAGCAGGTGGGCAGCAAGTGAGATGCCAGAAGGAGCTGGGTGCCGCTGCCCGTCCCCCTGGATCCCTCTGCTTGCTAGTCAGCTGGGTGCTGGGCCAGGCCTGATGTCCATCCAGGCGGGTTCCTGCTTTCAGTGCTGCACAGTGAGCAGGGTGAGGAGCCCCAGCTAGGGTCCAGATCCTGCCAGTGTTTCAGGGAATGGGGTGTGCATGCGCAGCACTGCAGAGCAAGTGCAGGGCAAGAGGAGAAAGGTTTTCATTTCTTCCTTGTTTATAAACTGCCCAAGGGCAGATGGGGTCAGCCAGTTGGGGATGCAGCGGGAGGAGGTCCAGGAGGCCTGGGTGGGGATGCTGTGACCAGTCTTAAAGCAAAACAGGAGGGAGGTGGTGTGTTTTAGACGCTGGAGGACAGGCAGTGTGAGGGAAGAAGGAAGTTGATGGAAACATGACTATGAAAAAGTAGCTTTTCGGGAAACCACAGGCAGAGCCAAAGCTAAAATAAACCATTCAGTAGATTTTATTAACCAAACAAAGCCTCCTGAGATTGGTTCTGTCACCTCGGAGCCACAAGCTGGGAAAAGATAACCACACCCACCCAGCCAGCTTCCCCCACCCCCAGCTGTTTCCAGGCCTGGGACTGGAGCCCTGCTGAGACCTTGTCCCACATCTAGGACCCTCTAGGGCCTTTGGGCACAGACAAGTAGCAAGGGCCTCTGCCAGGAACACCTAGAGGATGTCCAGCTGGGTGCTTCTCCACTCTCAGTCTGTTTGCTCAAATGTGGAATTCTAATCCCTGGCCAGTTTGCATCCCGGGGATCCCTGAAGAGATCCCAGGAGGGGAGTGCTTTGTGCACTGAAGGCGTGGAACAGGGCACTGGAGGAGGAAGACCCAGAGCCCTGGCTCTCAAGACAGGCCTGGCTCCAAGCACCTGCCATCCTTCCCAGGGAGAAGGAAGGCCTGATGTCTGGATTCCCCATTCTCTTCTGAATGCCAGGAAGCACCAGAGTGCGCGTGTGCCCCTTGGAAGACAAACCCACAACCAGGCCTGTCTGAGGCCGGCCATCCGCACGCTCCCAAGAGGCTCAGACCTGGGTCAGTCTGTCCCTAGGGCCCTCTGAGGCCTCTGCCCAAACCACAGGACTGCCCAGACCCCAGAGCAAACTGAGACAGCACAGGTCCACTCCTTGACTTCAAAGTATGGAAGGTGAGGCTGGGCCCAGAGGGTCTTGCTCAAAGCCCCCACGATATTCACTCCTGAGTCCCCACCTGCAGGCCCAAGCTGGGTGCTGGGTCCCAGAGGCGAGTCTGCCTTGCTGCCTCCAAGGGCTCCCAAAGCTTCAACCTGGACACCTCTCCTCCCTGCACACATTTGCCTCCGGGCTTGACTGAGGGCTGGGATTGGCCAGCCCAGCCCTCAGGGAAGCCAGGAGGCAGGGGGGCCCCTTCCCCATCCTCACCTACACCCTGGCTACTCCCATCCCCACCAAGCCCACCCACCTCCTGCCAGGGCCTCTGCCCCAGCCTCCTCCTGACCTGGTCCTGCCTGGGCCTCTCCTTGTGGCCGCACGGAGCGTCCTCAAGCAAGTCCCTTAGCCACTAGCTCCCGACTCCCTCACTCAGACCTTTTCCACAGTCCTTGTGGCCCTCGGGCTCCTTAGAGAGGGCCCAGCACTGGCCACTCTCCCGACTTGGCCACACACAGCCACACACGGCTCTGCCACCCCCAGTCTGAGCTGCTCCCCGCAGACCAACCATCCCAGGCCTCCCGCTGTGTGATGGGCTTCTCCAAGCCAAGAGTTCCTCCTATTCCCAAACAGCCTGAGCTGGAGCCCCAGGCCCCAGGAACAGCCATCTGGCCCTGACCCTGAGTTCCCAGACACTCCCATGACCCTGCAGAGGGCAGGAAGCCAGGCACCATCTTGCCCAGGGGCTACAGCCGCTGACCATGGTTCCCCACTGGAGAGCTAAGCCCCAGTTCAGAGGAAGCTCTGGACTCAGCTCGTGTCCACTGTGTGCTTTCAGCAGGCCACGGTGCAGCCCACTGCAAGGAGCCCTGTCTACAGCTGTGGCCACGGACGCCATGGTGGGTCGGCTCACTCCCACCTAGACTCCTGGGATCTGGTCCTGTCTTTGCCACACTTGGGGCTGGGGCTTCAGGGACTCCCCTGCAGGAAGGCAGTGCCCCTTAGTGACTGGTCACATCCTAATGCCACTGTCACCTCAGAGCCGTTGGCCCAGGGAACAAGCTGAAGACATGGAGGTTTCCCTTTCTTATAAAAATCTTTAATAAAAATAGGTTTCTGCAGAACAGGTTATAAAACAGGAATAGCAAACTCAAATTCCTGCCACCCAGGCAGGAGCGAGTGGAGCAGGTGGAGGGGGGCTAACGGAGAGCCCAGAGCAGCAACCAACACAGAGGGACCTGGTCATTGACTTGTGGGTTGCGTGCATCTTTTTTTTTTTTTTTTTTTGGGACAGAGTCTCACTCTGTCGCCAGGCTGGAGTGCAATGGCACGATCTTGGCTCACTTCAACCTCCACCTCTCGGGTTCAAGTGATTCTCCTGCCTCAGCCTCCCAAGCAGCTGGGACTACAGGTGCATGCCAGTACGCCCAGCTAATTTTTTTGTATTTTTAGTAGACATGGGGTTTCACCATGTTGGCCAGGATGGTCTCCATCTCTTGACCTCGTGACCCGCCCGCCTCGGCCTCCCAAAGTGCTGGGGTTACAGGCGTGAGCCACTGCGCCTGGCCACATCATCTCATTTTTCAAGAGATGTGTCTTTTAGAAAATTTGCATTTTTTAAAATTATACTTTGGTCTGCAAAAAATTGCATTTTTAAATGTTTGCCACTAATTGATTCTTCTCCCCTCAAAATGGCAGTGCAAGTCAAAATAAGACACAGGCAGCCAGTTCGCAACCTGTTGTATACACTCCACAATAAAAATAAATGGATCCACACAGTAGCAAAATATGTGTACAAAACCTACCAGGAAGACCAGGGACAGACCCCTACCCTCCGGTCAACATGAGACAAGGAGAGGGAAGGAAGGCTGAGAATGGGGCAGGAGCCCTTGCAGCACCAGCCTGTGTCTGCAGCCCTGGGTCCTGAGGTACCACTGGGGGATGGAAGAACTCCAAGGAGAGCCCCAGCTGGGTCCTAATACCCCAGGAGCCTTCTGGCTTCTTCACTTTGGGCCTGCAGGGTCTCGCTTGCATACTTCTGGAGGAGTTCCATTTTCTTCCTTCGCACCAGTGCCTCCTCAATCTGTGGAAATTAAGAGTGCAGGGCTCACTCCTCAGCAAAGCCCCTCAACCCCTGCCAGACCCAGCCAGGAGGAAGTCCCCGTGGGAGAAGTCCATCAAGGAGTCTGATTTAAATACGCAGAATAGTCTCCAAGAGTCCTAACTCCCTCCCATTGGAAACATTTGAACGATAGAATGGCCTAGAGCAGAGGGTCCTGCCCTTTTTGGACCCCACACCCTGAACACAATGACAGGTGTCATGTGGTCAGGACCCTGAGCTGCCCTGATGGGTAGGAAGGACAACGAAAACCCACTACAGTGCTCTGTGAAGTCTGCTTTAGAGAAGCCCCCGGCGCCCAGGCAGCTCTTAGCTGTGGTCCTACCTCTTGCTGCGAGGGAACAGGGACGTGAGCAATGAACTTCTGCTGGCTGTCGTCCCCTCCTTTCTCCTGGCTGCCTTCCTCGTCCGACTACAAACAGAACAAACGAAAGTCCATCAGTAGGCGCCCAGCTAGATAAATGCTGGCAACTCTATAAAACACACTACTCTGCAACTATTTAAAAGAAAAAAAAACTAAGAAAGTTCTATACTTATAGAAAGACACTTGACCCACAAGATTAAGTAAAAAAAGCCATAGAACACGCTGTATATTATGCTACCTTTTGTCTAAGGAGGAAATAAGAATAGAAATTACTGACGGCAGTGAGACCAAGGTAGATGAGGGACAGGGTGAGGAAAGAGAATCTTTGTGGAATATCTTTATATTCTTTTTCACTTTTGAACCTTGTGAATGTATCACTATTTTAAAAAATTTAAATGTAAAAGAATGTACCATGCATAGAAAAATAATCAGCTCAGAGGTTGCCTATGAGTCAATACAAATTTCTAATAACAAAGAAAACACCACGGACTTGGAAAGAGAGAAGGGGTCTTGTGGCGAGTCAGGAGTCCACTGTTTGCTGGGCTCTGCCAGACACCGTGCACGACCCATTCCCTGACTGGCTCCCAGTGGGGATGGCTTCAAAAGCCTCTTGAGGAACCTCTCATCCACTGCTGGCACTTGGAGAAACTGGTTGTATCTAACACTAAACACATACCTACCCTGATCTGGTGGTTCCACTCCTCAGCATGTACTCAAGAGAAACACTGCACGGGAACAAGAAAATTCCCAGCAACCCTATCTGCCAAAACCCCAATCTGGACACAACACAAATACCCACAAACATTAGACACAAAAGAGTACACACGACTCACATATGTAAAGTTCAGACACAAGTGAAATATATGGGTCACAAGAGGTCAGGAGGGTGACCCCTGAGGCAGTAGTGAGCTTCTGGCGCTGTGGTCCTGTTCTGTTTCTTCACTGGTATTTGCTATGTGTGTGTGTGTTCACCCTGTGAAAATCCAGTGACCTACACATTTAGCAGGTGTGTACTTTTCTGTATATGGAACAACACTCAGCAGTGAAAAGGAATGAACTATTGAACTCAACAACCAGAGGGATGGCAAGGGCATCATGTTAAGTGTCAAGGCCATCGTGAAAGGTGACTCACAGCATGATCCCATTTATAAAACATTCTGAAATGACAAAATCAGAGATGGAGAACAGGTTAGGGTTCAGCTAGGAGAAGAGATGGTGAGGACAGGGAGGTGTGAACTGTGAAGGGGTGGCACCAGGGATCTTTGTAGTAAGGGGACAGTTCCCAGGCTGGAGTGCAGTGGTGCAATCACAGCTCACTGTAATCTGAACCCCCTGAGCTCAAGCAATTCTCACACCTCAGCCTCCTGAGTAGCTGGGACTATAGGCATGTCCAACCACACCTAGCTAATTGTTTTTATTTTTGGTAGAAACAGGGCCTCATTGTGTTGCCAGACTGGTCTTGAACTCCTGAGTTCAAGCAATCCTCCCACCTCAGCCTCCCAAAGTATTAGGATTACAGGTGTGACCACCACCCCCGGCCAGTTCTGTATCTGGATTGTCATGATGGCCACATGGATCTCCACACATGGAGACAAATGACACAGAACTCCACACACTCAATATGCCAATGTCAACCTCCCAGTTTTACTACTGTGCTAGAACTACATGAGATACAACCACTGGGGGGAACTGGGTGAAGCATACACAAGATCTCTCTGTACTCTTTGCAACTTCCTGTATCTCTATAATTATTTGAAAAGAAAAAAAAATTCTGCTGTGGGTTTCCACTGCTCTTCCCCACAACGCCAGCTCCCCATCAGCCTCCACTCACACCCAGCACCCACTCTCTGCACTCCAGCACACTGGGCTGTCCTTTGTCTCTCACACTCATCACAGGATCTCTCAGCACATGATGCGCCCCTGCTGGGAGCCCTCTCTCATCTCCTCCTTCCTTGGTTAAGTTCGCTGGATCATCCTAATCTCAGCTGAGGGTTTAGCTTCCCAGCAGAGTGTCTGCAGGCTGTCCCTGCACCAGGCTCTATTGAGGGACTGTTGCTCACTGTCTCTCTTACTGGACTGCCTCCCCCTGGACTATGAGCTACACTCCAAGCCTCTGTACCACCATGCCCCTGCACCTGGAATGCGGCTGGCTCACAGGAGCCATGAATTAAACACCTGCTGAGAGAGCAAATGAATATTTGTACCTAGAGGAAATCCTCCTAAGGCATGCTGCCATCCTGCTTCAGACCTGCACTGAACCCCAGTGCTGGCCCAGCTGGACATGAGCAGGAACGTCAGGCCTGTTATATCCCATGTGACATTAAGTCACTAAACCTGAGCCTGCTTCTTCACCAGTGATGTCTCAGCAAGCTCCTCATGTGGAACCTGAGCCATCATCCATGTGTGGGTGATCCCCTCCCTTCTCTCAGTCCAGCAAATCAGATCCACCTAGACCTGTGCAGGCAGCAAGGACTCCAAATATAGGGCCCCGCAGAAGAGCTCTGCCTGGGAGGCAGAGATTTCAAATGTTGAATTTTCCTTGTTTCAGAATACCTCCTTTAATGCAGTGAAGTTTTGGTAATGTTTCATAGAAAAAATAAAAGGTGTAGCACAGACAGATATGTCAAGATTACTTACATGGTGGCTATAATAAAAAGTAATAACTAAGATATATAATGAGTATTTCCTATAAATCAGAAAATATGCAAAAGATCAGAAAATATGCAAAAGGTCTGAAAATATGCAAAGATTCCCCAACCATGACCCTCTAAGAAAGTTTCTTCTCTGCTCTGCGTTTCTTTCCATGTGTAAGACAGGGGTGTTAGGGCTGGGAGCAATGGTTCACACCTGTCATCCCAGCACTTTGGGAGGCCAAGGCAGGTGGATCACAAGGTCAGGAGTTCGAGACCAGCCTGGCCAATATGGTGAAACCCCGTCTCTACTAAAAATACAAAAATTAGCCATGCGTGGTGGCACTCGCCTGTAGTCCCAGCTACTTGGGAGGTTGAGGCAGAAGAATTGCTTGAACCCGGAAGGCAGAGGTTGCAGTGAGCCAAGATTGTGCCACTGCACTCCAGCCTGGGCAACAGAGCCAGATTCCGTTTCAAAAAAAATAAAAAAGATGGGGGTGTTAGACTACAGAAGAGCAACTGCCACTGACACGTGAACAGAAGTGATGAGGTCATGGGCTAAAGCTCATGGCTTCCTCTGTGTTTATCAGTCTAATTCTAGTGTATGCAGAAGGGCCTGTCTTTAAGAAGGAAAGAAGGAAGCCCTGGTGTAAAGCACGGCCGGCAGGGCACTCTCATGGCTGCTGCCTCCTGAAACCCTCCTGTAATCTCGCAAGTGTTTTCACAGCCATCCTGCAGGTGAGCAAGCTGGGCTGTGAACCCTGACTCTGTATTTGGGAGCCAAGTTTCCTCCCTGCCACACTTCATGGCTTGGAACAGATGGCAGTGAGTGCCAGAGGGGGCCAACCCCAATACCTCCTCCTCGGTGACTGCATAGATGTTGATCTCTTCCTCCTCTTCCTCCTCCTCTTCCTTTTCTCCTCTTGCCAGCCGAGCCTCTCTCTCTGCTTTCCACTTTTCCACTAACTCGGCTCTGACTGAACACAAGAGAGGGTAGGTGCTATTTATTTGTCTCTAAATGAGCTTTCAACACTATGCAGGGAAAGGCCAACACTATGCAGGGAAAGTCTAGACATCCCCTCTAGAAAGGGACACCCTTCATTCTGCCCCCGTGGGTGGAAATGGATGTGAAGCATGGTAGTCCTACAACAGCTCTGGCCTTCAGTCACTACAAAGCAGCTTTTTAGGGAACATTCCCAAATCCTCCCCACTTCCACAACCTGAGTGGATTCCCAACATGTCCACATGAAAAGAGAGAAGGCAGGGGCAGAGCATGCTAGAAAGCAGCTCCAGCTCCAGACCACTTGCTTCCAAAGTCCTGGCCTGATGTGTCACATGGGCACTGGTATTAGCACGAATCCACATGGTGACCTCCTAGCAGACAGGGACCGGTCAGACGTGGCTCTCATGGCTTCCCCAACCTGTTACCTCTGGCCCACACAGCTTTGACTGCCTCACAGGGGTCAGGGAATTAGCAGACCATCACGCCTGAAGATCATTAGCAACAAAGAAAACTCCCTTCTGGCATAAAGCACTATTGAAAATCCTGTTTTCAAAGGACACAACAGAAAACAGATGCCATCTATTATGAAATAAAATGCCCAGAGACCTACGTTTCTTTTCATATTCCTGTTCCAAAGGCACAATAACACCATCATCTTCATCTAGGTAACCATAGTACTCAAAATCGATTGCCTTCATGAGCTCAGCACGTGTCTTTCTGGGAGGAGGAAGAGCTATAAGAAACAGAAATGGAGCTGAGTTTCCAAGTCATAATCACACTCCAGCGAAGCTGTCTCCTGATGCAACGCTATACACACACGTGGCACGTATGTTCATGAAAATACCAGGTGGGCGCAGTGGCTCATGCTTGTAATCCTAGCGCTTTGGGAGGCCCAGACAGGTGGCTCACAAGGTCAGGAGTTCGAGACCAGCCTGACCAACATGGTGAAACCTCGTCTCTACTAAAAATACAAAAATTAGCCGGGCGTGGTGGTGCGCACCTGTAATCCCAGCTACTCAGGCTGTGGCAGGAGAATCGCTTGAACCTAGGAGGCAGAGTTTGCAGTGAGCCGAGATCACGCCACTGCACTCCAGCCTGGGCGACAAAACAAGACTCCATCACACAGAAAAAGAAAATACCATGGATAGACACTTTTCTATACTATTCATGGAATTATTTAAGTGGTAGAGCCCTTTTTAAAATCAGTACTTGGACCCATTTGTCCGTTTAAAAGCAATCTACCTAAGTAAAAAACAAAACCAGGCCGGGTGCGGTGACTCATGCCTGTAATCCCAGCACTTTGGGAGGCCGAGGCGGGAGAATCACGAGGTCAGCAGTTCAAGACCAGCGTGGCCAATATGGTGAAACCCCATCTCTACTAAAAATACAAAAATTAGCCAGGCATGGTGGTGGGGGCCCCTGTAATCCCAGCTACTCCTGAGGCTGAGGCAGGAGAATCGCTTGAACCCAGGGGACAGAGGTTGCAGTGAGCGAAGACTGCACCACTGCACTGCAGCCTGGGCGACAGAGCGAGACTCCATCTCAAAAAAAAAAAAACAAAAACCAAACACGAGATAGCAAAAAGCTTCATGTACAGAAATATGCATCACAGTATTATTTATATAATAGAGAAAACTTGGGAATAACCTATGATTGTAAATTGCAGAATATGTATGGGATGGGATATCCTGCAGCCCCTGTAATGCTATTTCACAAAGTATTTTAATAACACAGGAACTGTCATAATGTTTAATGAAAAAGCATGACAGGAAACATAAGTAAATAAAAAAGACAAAAGAAGCTAGAAACAAACAAAAAAGATACATGAGAAAGCCCTAAAGAAGATATTTTCAGACTAGGACTACAATCCAGAATATTTAAGTAATTCTTTTTTTTTTTTGAGATGGAATTTCGCTCTTGTCCAGGCTGGAGTGCAATGGCATGATCTTGGCTCACTGCAACCTCTGCATCCCGGGTTCAAGCGATTCTCCTGCCTCAGCCTCCCGAGTAGCTGGGATTACAAGCACCCGCCACCACACCCAGCTAATTTTTGTATTTTTAGTAGAGATGGGGTTTCACCATGTTGGCCAGGCAAGTCTCGAACTCCTGACCTCAGGTGATCCACCCGCTTAGGCTTCCCAAAGTGCTAAGATTATAGGTGTGAGCCACTGCACCCGGCTAAGTAATTATTAAAAATGAAAAACAAAATGACAACCAACCAGATTGGTGAAAGAATAAAAGCTGGCCAGGTGCAGTGACTCATGCCTGTAATCCCAGCATGTTTTTTTCTTTTTTTTGTGGGACGGAGTCTCGCTCTTGTTGCTCAGGCTGGAGTGCAATGGCGCAATCTCAGCTCACCACAACCTCCGCCTCCTGGGTTCAAGCAATTCTCCTGCCTCAGCCTCCTGAGTAGCTGGAATTACAGGCACGCACCACCACGCCCGGCTAATTTTGTATTTTCTTCTTCTTCTTTTTTTTTTTTTTTAAAGACAGAGCCTCGCTCTGTCACCCAGGCTGGAGTGCAATGGCGTGATCTCAGCTCACTGCAAGCTCCGCCTCCTGGGTTCACGCCATTCTCCTGCCTTAGTCTCCCGAGTAGCTGGGATTATAGGCACCTGCCACCATGCCCAGCTAATTTTGTATTTTCTTCTTCTTTTTTTTTTTATTTTTTATTTTTTAATTTTATTTTTTTAGACAGAGCCTCACTCTGTTGCCCAGGCTGGAGTGCAATGGCGCGATCTCAGTTCACTGCAAGCTCCGCCTCCTGGGTTCACGCCATTCTCCTGCCTCAGCCTCCCAAGTAGCTGGGATTACAGGTGCCCGCCACCATGCCCAGCTAATTTTTTGTATTTTTTTTTAGCAGAGACGGGGTTTCACCATGTTAGCCAGGATGGTCTTGATCTCCTGACCTTGTGATCCGCCCGCCTCAGCCTCCCAAAGTGCTGGGATTACAGGCATGAGCCACCGCACCTGGCCTAAAAAAATAAAAAAATTTTTAAGGCCGGAAAGGAACATACCAAACAGATAATAATGGTTATCAGTTACCTCTAGGAGGGGCACTGGGATGAGTGTAGAGGTAAGAGGACTTTAACTCTATCTGTGCTATTTGAATTATAACCAGTAAAATTCACTTATGCATTTTCTTTCTAAAACAAAAATCTTTTCAATAGATGACAAAAAAGGAAAAATAAATTTAAAAACCCAAAACTCTATCACTGGAATAAGCAAAAATATATTTAGAAAAATGTAAATGCAAAAAACCTAACATATAGAGCATAATCACAATATAGGAGCCACCCCAACACAACCCTTTAGAAACTGGAAGGAACAGCCAGGCGAGGTGGCTCACTCCTGTAATCCTAGCGCTTTGGGAGGCCGAGGTGGGCAGATCATGACATCAAGCGTTTGAGACCGGCCGGGAGCAGTGGGATGTTATCCCAGCACTTTGGGAGGCCGAGGCGGGCGGATCACGAGGTCAGGAGATAGAGACCATCCTGGCTAACACGGTGAAACCCCGTCTCTACTAAAAAAATACAAAAACTTTGCCGGGCGTGGTGGCGGTCACCTATAGTCCCAGCTACTCGGGAGGCTGAGGCAGGAGAATGGCGTAAACCCGGGAGGCAGAGCTTACAGCAGTGTGCCGAGATCGCATCACTGCACTCCAGCCTGGGCAACACAGCAAGACTCCATGTCAAAAAAAAAAAAAAAAAAAAAACTCGAGACCACCCTGGCCAACATAGGGAAACCCTGTCTCCACTAAAAATACAAATTAGTACTGGGCACAGTGGCTCACGCCTGTAATCCCAGCATTTTGGGAGACCAAGGCGGGCGGATCACAAGGTCAGGAGATTGAGACCATCCTGGTTAACATGGTGAAACCCCGTCTCTACTAAAAAAACACAAAAACTTTGCCGGGCATGGTGGCGGGCGCCTATAGTACCAGCTACTCAGGAGCCTGAGGCAGGAGAATGGCGTGAACCTGGGAGGCAGAGCTTGCAGCAGTAAGCCGAGATTGCGTCACTGTACTCCAGCCTGGGCAACAGAGCAAAACTCCATCTCAAAAAAAAAAGAGCTCGAGACCACCCTGGCACCAACACAGTGAAACCCTGTCTCTACTAAAAATACAAATTAGTACTGGTCACGGTGGCTCACGCCTGTAATCCCAGCACTTTGGGAAGCTGAGGCAGGTGGATCACGAGGTCAGGAGATCGAGACCATCCTGGCTAACACGGTGAAACCCCGTCTCTACTAAAAATACAAAAAAAAAATAAAATTAGCTGGGCATGGTGGCAGATGCCTGTAGTCCCAGCTACTCAGGAGGCTGAGGCAGGAGAATGGTGTGAACCCAGGAGGTGGAGCTTGCAGTGAGCCAAGATTGGGCCACTGTACTCCAGCCTTGGTGACAGAGCGAGACTCCATCTCAAAAACAAAAAAAAGATACAAATTAGCTGGGCATGGTGGCATGCGCCTGTAGTCCCAGCTACTTGGGAGGCTGAGGCAGGAGAATTACTTGAACCCGGGAGGCAGAGGTTGCAGTGAGCCGAGATTGCACAACTACACTCCAGCCTGCGCAACAGAGCAAGACTCCATCTCAAAAAAAAAAAAAGAAAGAAAGAAAGAAAGAAACTGGAGGGAACAATGCCCTAATGTATTAACAATCATCACATATGAGGTGTGAAAATGTGAGTGGTTTTTTTCTGATTTTCTGTATTTTATAACTTTTTTTTGTTTGAGATGGAGTCCTGCTCTGCTGCCCAGGCTGGAGCGCAGTGGGACGATCTCGGCTCACTGCAACCTCTGCCTCCCAGGTTCAAGTGATTCTCCTGCCTCAGCCTCCTGAGTAGCTGGGATTACAGGTGCCTGCCATATGCCCAGCTAATTTTTTTTGTATTTTTAGTAGAGACAGGGTTTCACCATGTTGGCCAGGCTGGTCTCGAACTCCTGACCTTGTGATTCTCCCGCCTCAGGCTCCCAAAGTGCTGGGATTACAGGCATGAGCCACTGCGCCTGGCTATAACTCCTCTGTAGTAAAAAATATATTCCTTCATAATTAATGGCACAATATTTAAACTCTGAATTATTTTTAAGGGATGGTAGTGGCCTATGCAAAACTAGCTGTGGAATAATGAATTTTAAAATAAGCAGCATTTAATAAAAATAGAACTATATTTTTTTTAAAATAGAAAAGCCAACTAGAAGGAGATATAACAAAATGCTAATAATGGTGAAAATACTGGCATCATTCTTCTCTGCCTCTCATACTTTTTCCTATGAAGTGTTGACTACCTTTCTAAAACACAAAATCAAAACCGACTAAAACTCCAGACTAACAGTTTCAAATTATATTCAGGAGGTTTGGCTGAAAGAAGGAGGAAAGGTGGGTGTGCCCTATTTGGATTCACACAAAAGTAGCTCCACTTTTCTCCTTTTTTTTTTTTGAGATGGAGTTTCGCTCTTGCTGTCCAGGCTGGAGTGCAATGGCACGATCTCGGCTCACCGCAACCTCCACCCCTCAGATTCAAGCAATTCTCCTGTCTCAGTCTCCTGAGTAGCTGGGAGTACAGGCATGCACCACCATGCCCAGCTAATTTTGTATGTTTAGTGGAGACGGGGTTTCTCCATGTTGGTCAAGCTGGTCTCTAACTCCCTACCTCAGGTGATCCGCCCACCTCAGCCTCCCAAAGTGCTGGGATTACAGGCATGAGCCACAGTGCTGGGCCTCACTTTTCTCCATTTTTACATTTAGGGTTTGGCCCAAGATTGTATTTGTTCTTTGGTTATCATTTGTTCAACTAATAAGTAACTGAAACATGACCTGATTCAATGAACTTCAGAGCCTGCCCCAATCGTTCTGGGAAACTTCAAATAGGGAAACTCCTTGTCCAGACTGACAGATTAGCACCTGCCAAAGGCAGAATCCTGCACCAGCCAATCCTGGGCACACTTTCCAGCCCCAATTGTATGGCATGGGCCTATGATTCTATCCCAGTTCTTAAGAATTCTCAGTTAAAATCTGGGAACAATAATTCCTACACTATAAGGCTGTTATGCAACTAAGAAAAAAAAGTAAGAGCAGTTAGCATATAGCATATCTACTCTTATGATTATTACCAATGAAAGGCTAAAACTGTCACAAACTTACTTACGTTCTTTTTCAAACAGCTCTCTAACACCAGGCAAATCTTTTGCTGCTCCAAAGTACTTGTAACCTCGGTTTCCTGGGACTTCTTTTCCTTCATGATCCAGCATTTTAGGGCCAACTTTCTTATTGGGAAGAAAAAAAGAGAAAATGGATCTGTTAGTTAGTTAGTTAGTTATTATTTATTTATTTATTTGAGGCGGAGTCTCGCTCTGTTGCCCATTTATTTATTTGAGGTGGAGTCTCGCTCTGTTGCCCAGGCTGGAGTGCAGTAGCACAATCTCACTGCAACCTCCACCTCCTGGGTTCAAGTGATTCTCCTGCCTCAGCCTCCTGAGTAGCTGGGATTACAGGTGCGTGCCACCACGCCTGGCTAATTTTTGTATTTTTAGTAGAGACGGGGTTTCACCATGTTGGTCAGGATGGTCTTGAACTCCTGACCTCATGATCCACCCACCTCGGCCTCCCAAAGTGCTGGGATTACAGGCGTGAGCCACTGCGCCTGGCAGATCTGATCTTTAAACCCACTATTTCCATGTTTGCAAATATATTTTAAGATAATAGCTGGATGCAGTGGCTCACACCTGTAATCCTAGCACTTTGGGAGGCCAAGGTAGGCGATCACTTCAGCTTAGGAGTTCAAGACCAGCCTGGGCAACATGGCAAAACCCTGTCTCTACTAAATATACAAAAATTAGCTGGGTGTGGTGAGACATGCCTGTAATCCCAGCTACTCAGGAGACTGGGGCAGGAAGAATTGCTTGAACCTGGGAGGTGGAGATTGCAGCGAGCCAAGATCGTGCCACTGTACTCCAGCCAGGGCTGGAGTAAATTAAATAAATAAATAAATAAATAAATAAATAAATAAATAAAAAACACTTATGGGCTGGGCACGGTGGCTCACACCTGTAATCCCAGCACTCTGGGACACCAAGGTGGGAAGATCACTTGAGGCCAGGAGTTCACGACCAGCATGGGCAACATGGCAAAACCCTGTCTCTACAAAAAAATGCAAAAATCAGCCAGGCATGGTGACACACACCTATCGTGCCACTGCATTCCAGCCTGGGTGACAGAGCAAGACCCTGTCTCAAAAAAAATAAATAAAACTAGGCCGGGCGCAGTGGCTCACGCCTGTAATCTCAGCACTTTGGGAGGCCGAGGTGGGCGGATCACGAGGTCAGGAGACCGAGACCATCCTGGCTAACATGGTGAAACCCCGTCTCTACTATAAATACAAAAAATTAGCTAGGCATGGTGGTGGGCGCCTGTAGTCCCAGCTACTCAGGAGGCTAAGGCAGGAGAACGGCATGAACCTGGGAGGCGGAGCTTGCAGTGAGCTGATATCACACCACTGCACTCCAGCCTGGGTGACAGAGCAAGACTCCGTCTCAAAAAAATAAAATAAAATAATTAAAAAATAAATAAATAAATAAAGATAAAAAACACGATGCTAAGTGACAAAACCTTTAAAAAGATTACAAACAACCTATATGACAATTAGTGGAAAACAAATGAAATATATCCAGAAGATACAACTATATCTATTAAAACTGATGATTTGCTGGGTGCGGTGGCTCACATCTGTAATCCCAGCACTTTGTGAGACCAAGGCGGGAAGATCACCTGAGGTCAGGAGTTCAAGACCAGCCTGGCCAACATGGTAAAATCCCATCTCTACTAAAAATACAAAAATTAGCAGGGTACGGTGGTGCACATCTGTAATTCCAGCTACTTGGGAGGCTGGAGCACAAGAATCACTTGAACCTGGGAGGCGGAGGTTAGGGTGAGCTGAGATCGCACGCCACTGCACTCCAGCCTGGACGACAGAGCGAGACTCTGTCTCGAAAAAAAAAAAAAAAAAGACGATTTGACAACTACATGTAGTATGTGACCCCAGATCAGGTCCTGTACTGCAGGGGAAATGCTACCAAGGACATTATTGGGAAAACTGATGAAATGCCACATGGATTCAATTATTGTAGCCAAGTTAAATTTCTTAAACTTGATAGCTCTACCATGGTTACATAAGAGAATATTCTTCTTAGGAAATACACATATATTAAAGGGTAAAGAAGCATGATGTATTGTAACCTACCTTTCAAGTGGTTCACAAAAAATAAATCTCAAGGTACACAAAGAAAATAAAGCAAATACAAGCAAAATGTTAAATACTGGTAAATCTGTATAAAGGGTATATAAAAGTTCTCTGTATATTTTTGCAATGCTCTTTGAGTTAAAAAACATTTTTTTAAATCATACAATTTGGCTGAGCACAGCGGCTCATGCCTGTAATCCCAGTACTTTGGGAGGCTGAGGCAGGATGACTGATTGACTCCAGGAGCTCAAGACCAGCCTGGGCAACATAATGGGACACCATTTCTACAAAAAATTTAAAAATTAGCTGGGCATGGCCAGGCACGGTAGCTCACACCTATAATCCCAGCACTTTGGGGAGCCAAGGCAGGTGGATCACCTGAGGTAGGGAGTTCGAGACCAGCCTGGCCAACATGGTGAAACCCTGTCTCTACTAAAAATACAAAAATTAGCTGGGCGTGGTGGTGGGCACCTGTAATCCCAGCTACTCTGGAGGCTGAGGCATGAGAATCGCTTGAACCCAGGAGGGGGAGGTTGCAGTGAGTCGAAATCACACTCCTGCACTCCAGCCTGGGTGACAGAGCGAGACTCCGTCGCAAAAACAAAAATTAGCTGAGCATGGTGGCACACACCTGTCATCTCAGCTGCTCAGGAGGCTGAGGTAAAAGGATTACTTGCACCTGGAGTCAAGGCTGCAGTGAGCCATGATCGTGCCACTGCACTCCAGCCTGGGGTGACAGAGTAAAATCTTGTCACAAAAACTAAGAGGCTGGGTGCAGTGGCTCACATCTGTAATTCCAGCAGTTTGGGAGACCAAGGCGGACAGATCACCAGAGGTCAGGAGTTCGAGACCAGCCTGGCCAACATGGTCAAACCCCAACTCTACTAAAATATAAAAATTAGCCAGGTGTGGTGGCGCACACCTATAATCTCAGCTGCTCTGGAGGCTGGGGCACAAGAATTGCTTGAACCCAGGAGGCAGAGGTTGCAGTGAGCCAAGATCGCACCACTGCACTCCAGCCTGGGTGATGAAGCGAGACTCTGTCTCAAAAAAAAAAAAAAAACTAAACTAGAATAAAATAAAACAATATACATATCTATCATATGATTATTTATTGACACGAAACTGTATTCCTTGTACAGTTTAGAGA
The DNA here is from genome assembly GCF_000001405.40 of Homo sapiens. NCBI lineage: Eukaryota > Metazoa > Chordata > Mammalia > Primates > Hominidae > Homo > Homo sapiens. The sequence goes on from NC_000003.12 coordinate 129,143,609, forward strand.
ATAAAGCACATAGAATATTAATGAATTTCTATAATGTATATACTAATATGTATTTTTTATATCTTATAATTTTTATATTTATATTTTTTCTCTGCACAAAAATATGTACTGTTTATATAATGAAAGCTACCATTTTGAAAAGAAAAACAAAATCCAGAACCAAAATTGTACATACAGTGAGTATGGTTTCAATTATGACATTCATACAAAAACAACGGAAGGAGAAAAAAGATAAAGAGCATATTCAAGTGGCTGCACTTATGTAATGGGATTGTGACTGAGTGTTGTTCTGCTTCTTTGTACTTTTCTGAACTTAGTGGTAATATATTACTTTTATATGTAGAAAATAAAAATAAAATTATTAAGCATTAAAAATCTCTGGAAAAAATATATAAAAATATTAATAGTGTTGAATTTGGGTGGTGGAACTTAACATTTCACATACGAATTTTTTCATACCTGAGACCACTTTTCTAGGTGGATTAATGAGCTGCTTTTAAGCTGCCTCACAGGAAAAATAAAATCTCCACCACACAACTGCTGAAGAGATCAGGCAAGGGCTCACTCTGGCAGGACATATACTAAAATCGGAATGATACAGAGAAGATTGGCATATAAAAATAAAAAACAGCAAAAATAAAATAAATGAAAAGAAAAAAAGAAGTTAGGCAAGACACCCAAGAGAAGTCTCCTAGTGCAGTGCCCAGACACAAAAGGTGCTTCAGAAATGGGAGTGCCTTTCCTCTTCTGCAGTGGGAAGGCTGAATACTCCATTTGTATGTACTAGGGTAAGAATTATGGTTATGTGTTAGACTTTCACAAGGTGAAAAGATCAACACGTAGAAAAACTGCATGTGTTTCTTATATAACACATTATAGTCCATTGATTACATACTGTTTCCAGTGATCTGAGGTAGGTCTCATCACAAAAGTGTGAACGAATTAGGCTCTGGGGCAGGAGTTTTCAAAACCAAGACCCATTAGTGCATCATGAAATCAGTTAAGCAGGTCACAAACATCAAATTTTTAAAAACCAAAATAGAACAGAATAAAAAATATACCATACTTATTGTTTTTTTCAGCACCTTTGTGTGCTGGCTTGTGATTGTGTGTGTGTGTGTCTGTGTGTGTTTTACAATGAGCCATGTTCTTAAAAGTTTGAAAGCTATGGTTCTAGAGTATTGCATTTATAGAAGTCCAAAAAAAGGACAGAATGTAGTGTCTCTATGGCTCTCAGATAACAAAGCCAACAAATAGCTGTCTCCAGTTCCTAAGGCACTTAAAGAATGTGAGGAACCATGCTCATTTTATCTTTTTTTTGAGACAGCATCTTGCTCTGGCACCCAGGCTGAGGTGCAATGGCATGATGACAGCTCACTGCAGCCTCCACCTCCCAGGCTCAAGCCATCCTCCCACCTCATCCTTCTGAGCAGCTGGGACTATAAGCATGTGCTACTATGCCTAGCTGATTTTTAAATATTTTGTAGATTCAGGGTCCCACAACACTGCCCAGGCTGGTCTCAAACTTCTGTGCTCAAGGGCTTATCCTGTCTCAGCCTCCCAAAGTGCTAGGATTACAGGTGTGTGCCACTGCACCCAGTGAAGGACCATAGTCATTTTTTTTTTTTTTTTTGAAGACAGAATCTTACTCTGTCGCCCAGGCTGGAGTGCAGTGGCGATCTTGGCTCACTGCAACCTCCATCTTCCAGGTTCAAGTGATTCTCCTGCCTCAGCCTCCCAAGTAGCTGGGATTACAGGCGTGCACCACCACACACAGCTAATTTTTGTATTTTTAGAAAAGATGGGCTTTTGCCATACTGGCCAGGCTTGACTTGAACTCCTGACCTCAAGTGATCTGCCCGCCTCGGCCTCCCAAAGTGCTGGGATTATAGGAGTGAGCTACCATGCCCGGGCTCATGGTCATTTTAAACACGAGGCCGAGAGATGAAGCAGCTTCCACAAGGCCTTCTGGCTGGTACATACAGATGCCCCGTCTGCTGTGATGCATGTGCTGTGAGGTCTTCCAGCATCATCCTACCCATCCTGTTCATAGCTTTCCTGTATCAAGCGACTACTATGGCAAGAATGAGCTGGGAACTGCTGTGGGTGGAAAACTAGACAAGACCCGCCACTGGGGCTGCCATGTACTCACTCCATAATCAGGACCTCCCAGCTCCTTTATCCGGACCTCCCAGTGTCCTTTCTCCCTTAGCAGCTTGTTAATTTCATCATTCAGGTCACGAATTCGAAATTCACCTAAACCAGCTAGAAAACAAAAAGGTTAACAATATCATTCCATAAAAATGAATGTCAACACCTCTAACACGTACACTTAGTATCATATCCTTAAAATGAATGTCAACACCTACAAAGGTATACTACATAAAAACACTCATCTAAATTGATAAGAAAAACCACCCAAATAAATGAAAGGACAAGAATTATAAACAGAGTTCCCACTAGCGTAAGAAAAAAAAAATCCTTGAAAATAACTTCATTCTCATTAGCAACCAAAAAAATATAAACAACCCTGAAACAACCCAGCAGTTCCATTTATAAAACTACTGAAATAACAAGCTCTTAAGAGAGATGGGGAAACAGCAACTAAGGCCAGCAAAGACACAATGAGGCTGGGATACGCACCCAGGGATGGCAGCATTCTATGATGGTTTAGCGTTTTCAGGAAAGCAATGTATTGCTATATGGGAAAAATTTTTGGCAAGGACTATAGGGCTAAGAATTATGCCTAAGGGATTAATTGAAAGGGATGTACACAACAAATTTCACTGTGGTGCAGCTGGGGCATCACACCACAGAGAAGGTAGGAAAATGGTTAATGAACCCTAATATGTTGAAATGAAACATCATATAACTTTTGAAAGGGACAATTTGCACACAGTGGAGACACAGCAAGGCCTTCATGAGGTAATGCTGGATGACAACAGCAAGTCCAGAAGGGCTCTTACACCTGGGTTACAGCTAAGACTGATGCTCTAGAAGATGGGCATGAGAGGACTTCTAGGGGTGATGGATACTGCATGTGGAGGTGGTGGCTTTCACGGGTATAAAAATCTGCTGCAACTCATCCAACTCTACATTAAAAACGGGGGAATTTTATTACATGTAATTCTTGCCTGGATAGTCTATTTTTTTAAAAAAGTCAAACAGGCCAGGTGCAGTGGCTCACGCCTGTAATCCCAGCACTCTGGGAAGCAGAAGTGGGTGGACTGCTTGAGCTCAGGAGTTCAAGACTAGCCTGGGCAACATAGTGAAATCCCATCTCCACCAAAAATATGAAAAATTAACTGGGTGTGGTGGCACATGCCTGTGGTTCCAGCTACTTGGGAGACTTAGGTGGGAGAATCGCTTGAGCCCAGGAAGTGGAGACTGCAGTGAGCTGTAATAGCACCACTGCACTCCAGCCTGGGTGACAGAGTGAGACCGCCATTCAAAAAAAAAAAAAAGTCAAGTAAGAATATATTGTAACTGGGTGCGGTGGCTCACACCTGTAATCCCAGCCTTTCGGGAGGCAGAGGAGGGCAGATCACTTGAGGTCAGGAGTTCGAGACCAGCCTTGGCCAACATGGGGGAGTCCTTGTCTCTACTAAAAATACAAAAATCAGCCAGGAGTGATGGTGCACGCTTGTAATCCCAGCTACTCAGGAAGCTGAGGTAGCAGAATAGCTTGAGCCTGGGAGGCAGAGGTTGCACTGAGCCAAGATCACGCCAGGGCACTCCAGCCTGGGTGACAGGGCAAGACTGTCTCACAAAAAATAAAAAAATAAAAAAAATACATTTTAGAACCTCCCACTCCCACGTTCTGTTCTATTAAGAAAGAAAAAAGACCTGCCACCACCATGGTGAGACTTTCCAGTGCTAAAGACACAGAGAACTCAAGGCAGCCCAATCCTCTGAGGGCCTCAACCAAAGCAAAGGGAGAGGATTCCAGAAGCCTCTCCCAAAGCAAAGCCAAGGCATCTTGGAGAAAACAAGAATCACAAGTTTTATTTTTTTTATTGACTTTCCAAAATCTACATATAAAAACAATACTTTTTGGTACACAATTATGTGAGTTTTCACAAATGCATATAATCATGTAATCATCACCATAATTAAGACACAGAAAAGTTCCATCGCCCCAAAACATTCCCTTATGCATCACTATAGTCAACCCCTCCCCCTACCCAACTTTTGGCCACCAGTAAACACAATTTATTCTGTTCCTATAATTTTGCTTTTCCAGAACATCATATAAATGGATCAAAAATTATGCAGTATTTTGAGTTTTGTTTCTTTCACTCAGCATTAGGCTGAGTTGAAATGTTTTATTTATTTTTTTTATTTTTATTTATTCATCGATATGTTTTAATTTTATTTACTTTAATTATTATTATTATTTACAGAGATGAGGCCTTACTATGTTGCCCAAGCTGGTCTCCAACTCCTGGACTCAAAGCGATCCTCCCACCTTGGTCTCCCAAAGTGCTGGGGATTACAGGCATAAGCCACGGTGCCTAGCCTATATGTTTGTTTTTACTACTGAGTATTATTTTATTTTATAGACACACCTCAGTTTGTTTATCCATTCACCAGAAGGACCTTTGGGTTGCTTCCAGTTTTGGGGCTACTATAAACATTATGTATGAGTTTTTGTGTAACAGAAAAGTATTACATTTCTCTTGGAGAAATACCTAGGAGTGGAATTGATGGATCATAGGTTAAGTGTATGTTTAACTTTATAAGAAACCACCAAACCCCATTCTAAAGTAACTGTTCCATTTTGCCTCCTCACTAGCAGTGCATGAGAGTTCATTACTTCACATATTCACCAGCACTTGGCATGGTCACTATTTGTGTAAGTCATTCTATTAAGTGTGTAGTATCCCACTGTTGTTTTAATCTGCATTTCCTTTATGACTATTATGTTAAACACATGAAAAGATGCTCATTTGCATCTACATTTTATTTTATGTTTTGAGACAGTCTCACTCTGTTGCCCAGGCTGGAGTGCAGTGGTACAATCTCAGCTCACTGCGACCTCTGCCTCTCAGGTTCAAGCTATCCTCATGCCTCAGCCTCCCAAGTAGTTGGGATTACAGGCGTGAGCCACCACACCCAGCTAATTTTTGTATTTATTTTTAGTAGAGATGGGATTTTGCCATGTTGGCCAGGCTGGTCTCAAACTCCTGGCCTCAAGTGATCCACCCATCTCGGCCTCCCAAACTGCTAGGATTACAGGCGTGAGCCACCATGCCCACCCTACATATTTTCTTTGGTAAAGTATCTGTTCAAAATTTTGCCCACTTCTTAAAACAAATTATATTTTCTAATCGATGAATTTTTAAGAGTTATTTGTCATCCCCTTCTCCATTGAATTGTTTTCATAACTTTGTCAAAAGTCAACTGACCAAACCAGACATAGTGGCTTATGCCTGTAATCCCAATACTTTGGGAGACACAGACAGGAAGACTGCTCAAGTCCAGCCTGGGCAACATAACAAGAGCCCATCTTTACCAAAAACTTAAAAATTAGCCAGGCAGGGCTGGGCACAGTGGCTCACACCTGTAATCCCAGCACTTTGGGAGGCCGAGGCAGGCAGATCACTTGAGGTTGGGAGTTCGAGACCAGTTTGACAAACAAGGATAAACCCTATCTCTACTAAAAATACAATTAGCTGGGTATGGTGACACATGCATGTAATCCCAGCTACTTGGGAGGCTGAGGCAGGAGAATCACTTGTACCCGGGAGGTGGAGGTGTGGTGAGCTGAGATCACGCCACCACACTCCAGCCTGGCGACAAGAACAAAACTCTATCTCAAAAAAAAAAAAAAAAAAAAAAAAAAAATTAGCCAGGCATGCTGGGCACAGCAGCTCACGCCTGTAGTCCCAGCACTTTGGGAGGCCAAGGTGTGTGGATCAGGAGGTCAAGAGATGGAGACCATCCTGGCTAACACAGTGAAACCCCGTCTCTACTAAAAAAAAAAAAAAAAAAAAAAAAAAATATATATATATATATATATATATATACACAAAAAAAATCAGCTATGCATGGTGGCACACACTTGTAGTCCCAGCTACTTGGGAGGCTGAGGCAGGCGAATCGCTTAAACCCTGGAGGCAGTGAGCCAAGATCGTACCACTGCACTCCAGCCTGGGCGAAAGAGCAAGACTCCAACTCAAAAAAAAAAAAAAAAAAAAGAAAGAAAGAAAAAAATTAGCCAGGCATGGTGGCATGCGTCTGCAGTCTCAGCTACATGAGAGTTTGAGGCAAAAGGATCACTTGAGCCCAAGAGGTGGACGCTGCAGTGAGCTATGACTGCACCACTGTACTCCAGGCTGGGTGACAGAGAAAGGCTCTATCTCAAAAAAAAAAAAAAAAAAGAAAAAGTCAACTGACCATTTATGTGTGGCTCTATTTCTGGACTTCTAATTCTGTTTCTTTGGTCTATGTGCCCTGTCCTTTCACCAATACCACATTATCTGGAAGCTGGAGCTTTCTATTACATCTTGAAATCAGGTGGAATGAATGCTCCAATTTTGTTCCTTTTCAAAATTGTTTTGGCTATTCTAGTTCCTTTGCCTTTCCAATTAAATTTCAGACATAGAATGTCAATGTAAACAAAAAATCCTGTTAGAATTTTGATTGTGATATATTGGAAGAGAGAAAGAATTAACATCTGTACTGTGTTAAGTCTTCCCATACAACAGCACAGTGTATCTCCCCATTCATTCGGGTCTTCTTTGGTTTCTTTAGTCATCGCATCCTAGTTTTCAGCATACAGATCCTGACTGTATTTTGTTAGATTTATACCTAAGTATGGCCAGGCGCGGTGGCTCATGCCTGTAATCCCAGCACTTTGGGAGGCCAAGGCGGGTGGATCACGAGGTCAGGAGATCGAGACCATCCTGGCTAACATGGTGAAACCTCGTCTCTACTAAAAATACAAAAAAAATTAGCCAGACGTGGTGGTGGGCGCCTGTAGTCCCAGCTACTCGGGAGGCTGAGGCAGGAGAATGGCATGAACCTGGGGGGCGGAGCTTGCAGTGAGCTGCACTCCAGCCTGGACGCCAGAGCAAGACTCCATCTCAAAAAAATAAATAAATAAAATTAAAATTAAAAAGATTTATACCTAAGTTATTTCTTGTGTTTTGGTGCTTTTGTAAATAGCACTTTAAAAAAATGTTGTATTTCCAGCTGTTCAATGTTAGTATATAAAAATATAATTTTGAAGCTGAGCATGGTGGCTCACACCTGTAATCCCAGTACTTTGGGAGGCTGAAGCAGGCAGATATCACTTGAGCCCAGAAGTTCCAGACCAGCCTAGCCAACATGGTGAAACTCTGTCTCTACTAAAAATACAAAAATCAGCCAGGTGTGGTGGTGGATGCCTGTAGTCCCAGCTACTCGAGAGGCTGAGGCAGAATAGCTTGAACCTGGGAGGCAGAGGTTGCAGTGAGCCGAGACTGGGCCACTGCACTCCAGCGTGGGTGACAGAGGAAGACTCTGTCTCAAAAAAAAATATATATATATATAAATATATAAAATATATAAATATATAAAAATATATATAAATATATAAAAATATATATATGAATATATATGGGGTGTGTGTGTATATATATAATTCTGTATATTGAACTTCTTTTCTGTGATCTTGATAAATTCACTTATCCATTTTAGAAGTCTTTCTGTAGGTTCCTTGGGATTTTCTACATAGAAAATTATGTAGGATTTTAGGTGGGCATGGTGGCTCATGCCTGTAATCCCAGTACTTTGGGAGGCAGAGGCGGGTGGATCACCTGAGGTTGGGAGTTCGAGACCAGGCTGGCCAACATGGCGAAACTCTGTCTCTAGTAAAAATACAAAAATTGGCCGGGCATGGTGGCACATGCCTGTAGTCCCAGCTACTCAGGAGGCTGAGGCAGGAGAATCGCTTGAACCCAGGGGACAGAGGTTGCAGTGAGCCGAGACTGCACCACTGTACTTCAGCCTGGGTGACAGAGCGAGACTCCATCTCAAAAAAAAGAAAATTATATAGGATTTTCTATGTTACAATAAAGACAGTTTTACTTATTATTTTCTAATCTTTATGCCTTTTATTTCCTTTTTTTACTTTACCGCACTGGCTAGGATTTCCAGCATCACGCTGAATATAGTGGTGAGAGTGGATGTCTTTGCCTCGTTCCTGATCTTAAGAGGAAAGCATTCAATCCTTCACCATTAAATAGTTTATTGGCTATGGGTTTCTTATAAGTACTTTATCAGGGCCGGGTGTGGTGGCTCATGCCTGTAATCCCAGCTCTTAGGGAGGCCAAGGTGGGTGGATCACCTGAGGTTGGGAATTCGAGACCAGCCTTGCCAACATGGTAAAACCCTGTCTCTACTGAAAATACAAAAATTAGCTAGGCGTGGTGGCTGGCACCTGTAATCCCAGCTACTCGGGAGGCTGAGGCAGGAGAATCACTTGAACCTGAGAGGCGGAGGTTGCATTGAGCTGAAATTGCACCACTGCACTCCAGCATGGGTGACAAGAGCAAAACTCCGTCTCAGAAAAAAAAAAGAAGTGCTTTATCAGGGTAAAAAGTTCCCTTTTATTCCCAGTTTGCTGAGTTCTTATCATGAATAAACGTCTAATTTTGTCAAATACTTTTTCTGCATCTACTTAGATCATACAGTTTTTCTTCTTTGGAATGACACAGTGAATTAACTTATTTTTGAATGCTGAATCTACTATGTTTTTCCAGAATAAATCCTCCTTAGTTGTGATGTATTATCCTTTTTATACATTGCTAGGTTTTGTTTTTTTTTTTGAGACGGAGTCTCGCTCTGTCGCCCAGGCTGGAGTGCAGTGGTGCAATCTCGGCTCACTGCAAGCTCCGCCTCCCGGGTTCCAGCGATTCGCCTGCCTCAGCCTCCCAGGAAGCTGGGACTACAGGCACCTGCCACCACGCCCGGCTAATTTTTTTGTATTTTTAGTAGAGACGGGGTTTCACCGTGTGTTAGCCAGGATGGTTTCGATCTCCTGATCTCACGATCCACCCACCTTGGCCTCCCAAAGTGCTGGAATTACAGGCGTGAGCCACCGCGCCCGGCCATACATTGCTAGGTTTGATATGCTAATGTTTCATTAAAGATTTTTGTCTATATTCATAGGAAATATTGTCAGTAGTTATTTCTCATAATATCTTTTTCTGATTTTAGCATCAGGGTAATGCTGATACTAAAATTCACAAAATGAGTTACAAAGTGTTCCCTCTTCTTCCATTTTCTTGAGGAAACTATGTGGAGTTGGTATTATTTCTTCCTTAAATATTTAGTAGAACTGACCAGTGAAGCCATCTGGGTCTGGAATTTTCTTTTAGAAAGGTATTTAGAAATGAATTCAATTTCTTTCCATCTTTTTTTTTTTTTTTTTTGAGATGGACTGTCGCTCTGTCACCCAGGCTGGAGTGCAGTGGCCCAATCTTGGCTCACTGCAACCTCTGCCTCCTGGGTTAAAGTGATTCTCCTGCCTCAGCCTCCCAAGTAGCTAGGATTACACGCATGCGTCACCATGCCTGGCTAATTTTTGTATTTTTCATAGAGACAGGGTTTCACCATGTTGGCCAGCCTGGTCTTGAACTCCTAACCTCAGGTGATCCACCCACCTCCACTTCCCAAAGTGCTGCAGTTACAGGCGTGAGCCACGGTGCACAGCCCCAATTTCTTTAACAGATATAGGACTACTCAGGTTTACCATTTCTTTTTGAACTGTGTCTCTAAACAGTAGAATTATTGACACTGTAGTTTATTTAGGATAATTATTTGTAGGAGGCTTAGCACATCCCTGGCCTCTACCCACTATGTGCCAGTAGCACCCTTCCAGTTGTAACAATCAAAAATTTCTTCAGGGCTGGGCGCAGTGGCTCAAGCCTGTAATCCCAGCACTACGGGAGGGTGAGGTGGGCAGGTCATGAGGTCAGGAGATCGAGACCATCCTGGCTAACATGGTGAAACCCCGTCTCTACTAAAAATACAAAAAAAAATTAGCTGGGCATGGTGGTGGGCGCCTGTAGGCCCAGCTACTCAGGAGGCTGAGGCAGGAGATTCGCTTGAACCCGGGAGGCAGAGGCTGCGGTGAGCCAAGATCATGCCACTGCACTCCAGTGTGGGCAACAGAGCAAGACTCTGTCTCAAAACAAAACAAAACAAAACAAAATGAACTATTTCTCGGCCAGGCACTGTGGCTTACACCTGTAATCCTAGCACTTTGGAAGGCCGAGGAGGGTGGATCCCCTGAGGTCAGGAATTGAAGACCAGCCTGTTCAACATGGTGAAACCCTGTCTCTACTAAAAAATTACAAAAATTTGGCTGGGCGCCATGGCTCACGCCTGTAATCCCAGCACTTTGGGAGGCCGAGGCGGGCGGATCACGAGGTCAGGAGATCGAGACCATCCTGGCTAACACGGTGAAACCCCATCTCTACTAAAAATACAAAAGATCAGCCAGGCGAGGGGGTGGGCGCCTGTAGTCCCAGCTACGCGGGAGGCTGAGGCAGGAGAATGGCGTGAACCCCGGGGGGCGGAGCCTGCAGTGAGCTGAGATGGCGCCACTGCACTCCAGCCTGGGTGACAGAGCGAGACTCTGTCTCAAAAAAAAAAAAAAAAAAAAAAATTAGCCAGGTATGATGGAGGGTGCCTGTAATCCCAGCTACTCGGGAGGCTGAGGCAGGAGAAATTGCTTGAACCCAGGGAGGTGAACCCAGGGAGAAATTGCTTGAACCCAGTGCAGTGAGCCGAGAACTCGCCACTGCACTCTAGCCTGGGTGACAGAGCAAGACTCCATCTCAAAAAAAAAAAAAAAAAAAAAAAAGGACCACTTCTCTTAAGTGAGCTTTGGCAGTTTGTGTCTTGTAAGGAATTGACCTATTTCATCTAAGTTGTCAAATTTATGGGCATAACATTGTCTGTAATATTTCCTTATTATCCTTTTAATGTATATAGATTCTATAGTAATATTCCCAATTTGGTTCCTAATATTCTTAATTTGTGTATATTTTTTCTTGGTCAGTCTGACTAGAAGTTTATCAATTTTATTGATCTTTTTTTTTTTTTTGAGACAGAGTCTCGCTCTGTCTCCCAGGCTGGAGTGCAGTGGCGCGATCTCAGCTCACTGCAAGCTCCACCTCTTGGGTTCATGCCATTCTCCTGCCTCAGCCTCCCAAGTAGCTGGGATTACAGGCGCCTGCCACCACATCCAGCTAATTTTTTGTATTTTTAGTAAAGACGGGGTTTCACCGTGTTAGCCAGGATGGTCTCGATCTCCTGACCTCGTCATCCGCCCGCCTCGGCCTCCCAAAGTGCTGGGATTACAGGCGTGAGCCACCACGCCCAGCAATTTTATTGATCTTTTCAAAGAACCAGCTGTTGGTCTGTTTTCTCTATTCATCTTGTTTTCAATGCTATTGATTTCTTATCTTTACTATTTCCTTCCTTCTGCTTGCTTTGGGTTTAATTTGCTCTTCTTTTCTAATTTCACAGGGTAGAAGCTTAGATCACTGATTTGAAAACTTTCATAATTTTCTATTATTTCAGTGCTATATATGTATTTTTTGTTTGTTTGTTTGTTTGTTTGTTTTGAGATGGAGTCCTGGAGTGCAGTGGCACGATCTTGGCTCACTACAACCTCCGCCTCCCGGGTTCAAGCGATTCTCCTGCTTCAGCCTCCTGAGTAGCTGGGATTACAGGCACATGACACCACACCCAGCTAATATTTGTATTTTTAGTAGAGACAGGGTTTCACCATGTTGGCCAGGATAGTCTCTTATCTCCTAACCTCGTGATCCACCCGCCTCGGCCTCCCAAAGTGCTGGGATTACAGGTGTGAGCCACCGCACCAGGCCAGTGCTATACATTTTTATCTAAGCACTATATCCCATAAATTTTTTCATCCCCTAAATTTTGACATTACGTTTTCACTCTAATTAAATTCAAAATATCTTCTAATTTCTTTGCTGTTTCCTCTCAGACACATGAATTATTTACAAATATGTTGTTTAATTTCCAAATATTTAGGAATTTTTCAGATATGAATCTGTTGTTATAATCAGAGAAAATACTCTGTGTAATTTCAATTTTTTTTTTTTTTGAGATGGAGTTTCACTCTTGTTGCTGAAGCTGGAATGCAATAGTGTGATCTTGGCTCACTGTAACCTCCGCCCGTTAGGTTCAAGCGATTCTCCTGCCTCAGCCTCCCAAGTAGCTGGGATTACAAGCATGCGCTACCACGTCCAGCCAATTTTGTATTTTCAGTAGAGGTGGGGTTTCTCCATGTTGGTCAGGCTGGTCTCAAACCCCAGACCTTAGGTGATCCTCCCTCCTCGGCCTCCCAAAGTGCTGGGATTACAGGCGTGAGCTACTGCGCCCGGCCTCAAATATTTTAAATTTGCTAACATTTGTTCTGCAGCCCAGAATATGTTTTATTTTGGTGAATGTTCCACGTGCTCTTAAAAAAGACCATGTATTAGGCCGGGCATAGTGGCTCATACCTATAATCCCAGCACTTTGGGAGGCTGAGGCGGGCGAATTGCAAGGTCAGGAGATCAAGACCATCCTGGCTAACATGGTGAAACCCTGTCTCTACTGAAAGTACAAAAAAATTAGCCGGGCGTGGTTGTGGGCACCTGTAGTCCCAGCTATTCGGGAGGCTGAGGCAGGAGAATGGCGTGAACCCAGGAGGCTGAGCTTGCAGTGAGCCGAGATCGCACCACTGCACTCCAGCCTGGGTGACAGAGTGAGACTCTGTCTCAAAAAAAAAAAAAAAAAATGACGTATTCTTTATTGTTAGGTACAGTGTTGTGAGACAGAGTATTCTACAACTTTCAACTACATCAAACTGACTGATCGTATTGATTGGCTCTTCTATGTCCTTACTGATTTACTATCTACTTGCTCTATTGATTATTTTGAAAGGAGTATTGAAGTCCTCAAGTCTAATTGTGGATTTGAGAATCAAGCACTTTAAAGGAACAAGTTTGCTTACCATTCTGAATCTGAGCCACTTTTTTAGAGATCTCTCCAATGATCTATTAAAAAAAAGTAATACATTTTAATAATTTTTGAATATGTTAGAAAGCACAGAAAAACTATAATTCAAAATTAGTATTTAAAAATACTTAGACTTTTGGTCTAACAGTCATTTAGATAATAAGAAGAAATGAGAGACTTGTTACTTCTACTGAAATCAGATTTACCCAGAACATACCTGTCGTCTCCACTTCTCAGCTTTAGGCAGTTCAGTACATTCTGAGGCCAGAAAGGGTCTTCGTTCCTAAGGAGAAAAAAATAACACATTTCCATTATACTATTTACAAGTTTCAAACAACATTCAGAACTGATTCAGGCCTTAAGCCTAAATCATCTAATGGCCTAAAAACATTTGAAGTTTTCATTCCAGATGATCCTCATCAAGCCTTAAACCTCATTCTACAATCTCTCCTTAGGAAAAACATTGATTGCATTGTATTTAATATTGGAAAGAACTTAACTGTCCTGCAATAGAGAGACAGCCAAACTAGGTTATAGCTATTTCATGGCATATTTATAGTACCTTAAGAAACAATGTCTATCAGTGTTTAAAACAAACATACATAAATATGGGTGTATTCATATACATGTGCGTATATAAAATTAAAAAAAAAATCCAAAGAATGGTATATATTATCTCTAATTTGGGTGAGTCTCTAAGAAATGAAATAATTTACCGGTTTCAGCTTACAGCTGTTCTCCACATCATACTCCAGTCCCTATTCAATATTAGAGCTGGAGTAATAAAGGACCCAGTCATCAGGCTGGGCACGGCGGTTCATCTCTGTAATTCCCACTTTGGGAGGTCAAGGCAGGCAGATTGCCTGAGGCCTGGAGTTTGAGACCAGTCTGGCCAACATGGTGAAACCCCATCTCTACTAAAAATACAAAAAAATTAGCTGGGTGTGGTGATATGTGCCTGTAATTCCAGCTACTCAGGAGGCTGAGGCAGGGGAATTGCTTGAACCAGGGAGTTGGAGGTTACAGTGAGCCAAGATCACGCCACTGCACTCCAGCCTGAGCGACAGAGCGTCCATCTCAAAAAAAAAAAAAAAAAAAAAAGGGCCGGGCCCAGTCATCATAATACAGAAGAAACTGAAAAACAAGCAGCCAGATCCATCACCCTGCCTCAGCTATGGGGAGGTATTGGAATTCAAGTGTACAGACTCTCAAGAGCGTCAGCAGGTACAGATAAGAAATAGGAAATTCTGAAGTTTGAAGTCTGTTGACCTGGAGTGCAGCAGCGCGCTCTCGGTGCACTGCAACCTCCGTCTCCAGGGCTCAAGTGATTCTTCTGCCTCAGCCTCAAGTAGCTGGGATTACAGGTGCCTGCCACCATGCCCAGCTAATTTTTGTATTTTTAGTAGAGATGGGGTTTCACCATGTTAGCCAGGCTGGCCTCAAACTCCTGTCCTCAAGTGATCCACCCCCCTCAGCCTCTCAAAGTGCTGGGATTACAGGCGTGAGTCACTGCACCCTACTTTTTTTTTTTTTTTTGACAGGTTCTCACTGTGTCACCCAGGCTGGAGTGCAGTGGCATGATCATGGCTCCCTGCAGTGTAAGACTCCTGCATTCAAGTGATTCTCCTGCCTCAGCCTCCCCAGTAGCTGGGACTACAGGCAGGCGCCACCATGCCTGGCTAGGCTAATCTTTGTATTTTTTGTAAAGAAGGGATTTTGCCATGTTGCCCAGACTGGTCTCAAACTCCTAGACTCAAGTGATCCACCCACCTCAGCCTCCCCAAGTATTGGGATTACAGGCATGAGCCACTGCACCCAGCCTGCATTTATTCTTGATACTTTACAATTCATGAGGAAGATTTACACCAACCTTCACTTTTCCCTCTTCCAGCTGAGCCTGGCGAAATCTTGCTAAGGCCGTCCTACCAGCGATATAAAAGATAAAAGACTCCATTAGATCCTGCTCATACAGACTTCTCATTACCCATGTTCCTGTATGGGGTAGATCTGCTTATGACCATATTTAATGTCATTCATATACAAATATTGTAATTAAGAAACCACAGAATAGTTAGGGATTTCCATGTTCTCAGGAGTAGGAATTATGAGGCAATTTGTATTCCTGAACACCCAAGAATCTATTTTACTTACACTACACATAAGGACTGTGGGAAACTCTACTTATCAGACCACTGTGATAAGCAATACATCCAGGTGTTAAAAGACTAACATCATGGTGTGTTCCCTGGCTGTCACTCTCACAACCCCTGCACCAACCACAGGTGAACAAATGTTCATCCAGTGTTTAAGTTCTGGAAACTGTGAGAAAACACATAAATGGAGAAAACAAATGGGCAAAAACAGGAATGTTTTTGCATATGTAAGAACATAACATATGTAAAGAAAGAAACAGCTTCTCAAAAGGCTCAGATACCAAAAAGAGGAAATACACAAAGAGTTACATGGTGGTTTTTAAGTTACAAAAAATTTACAGCCAAAAACAAGTTGATACTTACATGGCCTTTTCTGCATTTCGGGCCTGGAAAGAGAGAAAAGAGAAGAAAAATGTCCATGTTTAAAATATATTTTTTTCTTGCCCTTTACTTTTTAGTGAAAAGTTTTACAAGAATACAATCACAAGCAAACCACTTGAAGTACTATATGAACAACAATAAACAAAAATCAAAAGATGTCCAAATCCTGTGACCAAGGCTGCTCCTCCCTCTACTTAAAATCTTTACTCCTCCACTGACCCTAACACCTTGTATCTGGCTAACTTGCATTATTCTTCCTTCAAATTTTACTTGTGTCATGACCACCCAGAACATTATTCTGTGACCCCTTCTTCCCAGTTAGGCTGGTGTCCTCTATCAAGGATTATACTTACCATGGCATTTAACACCCAGCATCACAATTGCCTGTTCCCTGCCAGTGGTATTTGGGGAAAATAAGTCTGAAGACTGCCTTTCGTAAAGTTTTATGTAAGTTCTGTCACACTAAATGTCAACTCAATTATCCCTGAAACACAGTGTCCAACAGAGAACGAGTTTTCTGGGTTGTAGTCTAGGTAGAAAGAGTCCTGGCTAAGTCAGGGACTTACATTCCCAGTTCTTCCACTTACCATCTGTGAGAAGTAGTCTCTCTATCACTCAGTTTCCCCATCTTTACAATAGAGATCATACCTCATCTTACAGAGCTGTCACGATATCTTCATGAGACAAATACACCAGGCATGCAATTTATAGACACTCAGCAAAATCGAGTTCAATTTAAATCTCTTTTGAGATTCTCCCCTTCAACTGACACAGAAACAAACTTGGCAAATGCTTGGTAGATAGGCAAACACCGCAGTAATTTGGGATATACCTTCTCACAGAAACGGCTACTACTTTTTTTTTTTTTCTTTGAGACGGAGTCTCGCTCTGTCGCCCAGGCTGGAGTGCAGTGGCGCGATCTCGGCTCACTGCAAACTCCGCCTCCCG